>NC_000001.11:51372016-51523531 GCF_000001405.40 Homo sapiens
AATAGCCTAGGTTGTGTAGTAAGCTACACCATCCAGGTTGTGTCAGTACACTTTCTGATGTTCCCCTAACCACACATTTCTCACATTTTCCCATCATTAAGCAATGCATGACTATACATAAATTCATACCTGCCCATGCACACACATTTTTTTCATTAAAAAATTAAGTAGTCTTCACAGGAGTTGCTGCTACTGCTGGAGTTTGTGGGTTGCAGGGAGCTAGGCCTAGTGGGCGGTGTGTGTCAAGATGTCAGAGCTGGCAGTGCAGAAGGCAGTGGTCCACCTTCCGGTGCTGCTCAGTGTGGTGGATCATTTCAACCGAATCAGCAAGGTTGGAAACCAGCAGTGCATTGTTGGTGTGCTTTTGGGGTCATGGCAGACAAAAGTACTTGATGTATCCAACAGTTCTGGAGTCCCTTTTGATGAAGATGACAAAAATCATTCTGTCTGGTTTTTAGACCATGATTATTTGGAAAACATGTATGGAATGTTTAAGAAAATTAATGCCAAAGAATAGTTGGGTGGTACCACACAGGCCCTAAACTACACAAGAGTAACATTGCCATCAATGAACTCAAGAAAAGACACTAACCTAACTCAGTATTGGTATTACTGACTGAAACTAAAGGATCTGGGGCTGCCCACAGAAGCATATATTTCAGTGAGAGAAGTCCATGATGATGGTGCTCCAACCTCAAAAACATTTGAGCATGTGGCTAATGAAACTGGAGCAGAGGAAGCTGAGGCAGCTGGAGCTGAACACTTGTTACAAGACATCAAAGATGCTACAGTGGACAGTCTTTACCAGCTGATCACAAAGAGGTCCATGGTTTGAGGAGGCTGAACTCCAAGCTTCTGGATATCAGGAGCTACCTGGAAAAAACAGCCACAGGCAAGCTGCCAATCAACCACCAGATCATTAGCTGCAGGAAGTCTTCAATCTGCTGCCAGACATCAGCCTGCAGCAGTCTGTCAAGGCCTTGTACCTGAAGATCAACGACCAAATGGCAGTGGGGTACTCTGCCTCCCTGACACATTCCATAGTTGCCCTACACAACTTCATCAACAACAAGATTGCCAATCAGGATGTAGAGAAGAAAGAAGGGCAGGAAACAGAAGGGAGCAAAAAGGATAGAAAAGATGACAAAGAGTAAGATATAGATAAGGAAAAGAGTGATGTGAAGAAAGAAAAGAAAAAGGAGAAAAAGTTAAAGATGCAGCTTTTTAAATTTGTAAATTAAAATCTTATAAACTAAACCAGTATGTCACTAGAAGGTTCTTGTTAAAAAGCTGTCCTGATTAGAGCTCTATGCCTCGGGTCACTCTTGAATGGATAGAGGGACTGATCTCAAACCTAAACTGCAGCATCAGCTGCTATGAGTTGAGGATAAGATAGCTCAGGCTTCAGATTGTATGAGAAAAATGAAGAGAATTCAACATAACATTTTTGGTACTCCTCATTCTTCTATTTATAAAACCAGGAGTTGAATTATCCCCATCTTCAAAGACTCCTGGGGTGTATTTCTGGTCTCATGGGGGCTGCTAAATGGAATGCACGAATTTCATGTGTTCTCTGCCTCATAACACCTTGAGTTCTGACCCTTCTGAACTCTGCTGAGAATAGTGCATCATGTTTTGGACCTGTAGTTCTGGCATTCTCAGGATTTGGGATCCAGTTCCACATATTATTTACCTTCAAAGACACAATTAAATGGCTTGAGGTCAGGAGTTCGAGACCAGCCTGGCCAACATGGTGAAACCCTGTCTCTACTAAAAATACAAAAATTAGCCAGGCGTGGTGGTGCACGCCTGTAATCTCAGCTACTTGGGAGGCTGAGGCAGGAGAATCACTTGAACCCAGGAGATGGAGGTCGCAGTGAGCCGAGATTGCACCACTGCACTCCAGCCTGGGTGAACAGAGCAAGACTCCGTCTCCAAAAAAAATTAAGTGAACTTGAAGGACAGTCACAGCTTGTGGTTTCTGGAAATGATGAAAATTAAGAGAAGAAATATGAAAGAAAGCAGAGGCTAAGTAAATACATGAACACATATACGTTTAGCCTGAGTCATTGCCTGTAAAAAGGAAAACCTACTGGGTATTTTACTCCTGCTGGAGTCAAAGATGCTCTAGGGAGATCATGAGCTCCCTTCTATATCCTCAGGATGTTATAAAGATTTAATTAACAGTTGGGAAGTTCTGCATTTTCTGTCAGGAGTTAGTAAAATATTCCACACAAAAAAATTTCTGGCACTTAAACTAATCTCACAATAAAATGGAAAAATAATTTTTATAAAGTACATGTAGAAAGTAAGTATCCTGCCGGGTACGGTTGCTCATGCCTGTAATCCCAGCACTTTGGGAGGCTAAGGCGGGTGGATCACCTGAGGTCAGGGCTTCGAGACCAGCCTGGCCAACGTCTTTACTAAAAATACAAAAATTAGCCGGGCGTGGTGGCGGATGCCTGTAATCTCAGCTACTCGGGAGGGTGAGGCAGGAGAATCGCTTGAACCTGGGAGGCGGAGGTTGCAGTGAGCTGAGATTGCGCCATTGCACTCCAGCTCAGGCAACAAGAGCAAAACTCTGTCTCCAAAACAAAACAAACAAACAAAAAAACCCAGTAAGAATTCTAAATTTGCTTTCCTTAGTTTTCTTTCACAGTCTGCAATGTGTCTATTCACCAGAAGCAAATGCTAACAAGATCTCAATGTGAGGCAAAATATTTAACATACCTTTTTTGAGATGGAGTCTCGCTCTGTTGCTCAGGCGAGCAACATCTCTCAGGTTCAAGAGATTCTCCTGCCTCAGCCTCCCAAGTAGCTGGAATTACAGGTGCATGCCACCATGCCCAGCTAATTTTTGAATTTTTAGTAGCCATGTTGGCCAGGCTGGTCTCAAACTCCTGTCTGCCTCGGCCTCCCAAAGTGCTGGAATTACAGGTGTAAGCCACCTCGCCCAGCCATAAAATATTTAATATACTTCTTTTTTTTTTTTTTTTTTTTTTTGAGATGGAGTCTTGCTCTGTCGCCCAGGCTGGAGTGCAGTGGTGCGATCTTGGCTCACTGCAAGCTCTGCCTCCTCGGTTCACGCCATTCTCCTGCCTCAGCCTCCCAAGTAGCTGGGACTACAGGTGCCCGCCACCACGCCCGGCTAATTTTTTGTATTTTTAGTAGAGACAGGGTTTCACTGTGTTAGCTAGGATGGTCTCAATCTCCTGACCTTGTGATCCACCTGCCTCGGCCTCCCAAACTGCTGGGATTACAGGCGTGAGCCACCGCGCCCGACTATATTTAATATGCTTCTATCCCTATGATAACAAGTATATTTTAGAGGTTGGAGTAGAGTTATATATAACATTTAAGAACAAAAATTTACTGGCATGTTTTTATTTATTTTGAAAGCTTAACAATTCCCCTGTTCCGTAGGATCAATCTTTTTGCCTGGTGGAATTCTACCTAGTGGAAGAAAATAATAAGGGTAGAAGGGTACCAGTAAGGTGGGTAAATGTCTTGTGTTTGTGACTTGGGTATGTAACATCACCTCTCAGAATCTCAGTAGTTTCCAGAAGTTGGGATTTTATGAACAAGTAAACTAATTAAATAAATACATTAAAAACCTATATACATATCTCTTTTTCCCCATATAAAGTTTAAAAGATATTTAGGAACCACTGACCTGAATGACCTATATAATAATAACTAATTCTCCTTCTCCATATTCTCATAATTAAAAGTTTTCATGTCAAGTGGAATTACATTTAAGAAGACAATGTAGGAAAAGACTTACGTTGTAACTAAAAACAAAACAAAACAAACAAACCAACATAAATACATAAATAGGGCAAGAACAGGTTTGCCAACTTAACCATAGGAACTGAAAAAAACAGTCCATTCTTCATTTCACAAACAAAAGGATTTTAAAAAGAAGAAAAACAAACTTAGCAAGTACTGATACAGAAGTTGCAGCAAGTTATCCAGAAGTCTAGCTTAGATAATTGATCTATAAAGGTGGCTACACTAAACAACAGATTTTCAATGTAGACAAAGCAGTCTTCTACTGGAAGAAAATGCCATCTACAACTGTCATAGCTAAAGAGAAGTCAATGTCTGGCTTTGAAGCATCAAAGGACAGGTTGAGTCTCCTATGGGGCTAATGCAGCTGTGGCAACTTTTAAGTTGAAGCCAATGCTCATTGACCATTCTGAAAATCCTAAGGCCCCTATGAATTAAGATAAATTGACAGTAGAAATAAAATAACAAAGCCTGGATGACAGCACAGCTGTTTATGGCATGTTTTACTGAATATTTTAAGCCCATTGTTGGGATCCACTGCTCAGATAAGAGATTTCTTTCAAAATACTCCTGCTAGGCTGGGCACTGTGGCTCACGTCTGTAATCCCAGTACTTTTGGAGGCCAAGGCGGGCAGATCACTTGAGGTCAGGAGTTCGAGACCAGCCTGGCCAACATGGTGAAATCCTGTCTCTACTAAAAATACAAAAATCAGCCGTGTGTGGTGGCATGTGCCTGTAGTCCCAGCTACTTGGGAGGCTGAGGCAGGAGAATTGCTTGAACCTGGGAGGCAGAGGTTGTGGTGAGCTGAGATTGCACCACTGTGCTCCAGCCTGGGCAACAGAGGGAGACTGTCTCAAAACAAACAAACAAACAAAAAAACCCAAAAATCTGCTCACTGACAATGCACCTAAGTCACCCAGAGCTCTGATGAAGATGTATAAGGAGATGAATGTTGTTTTCATGCCTGCTAACACAACATCCATTCTTGCAGCCAGGCAGTAATTCTTGCAAATCAAGGAGTAATTTTGACTTTCTAGTTTTATTATTTAAGAAATACACTTTATAAGGCTATAGCTGCCATAGACAGCCATTCCTCTGATGGATTTGGGCAAAGTACACTGAAAACCTCCTGGGAAGGATTCACCATTCTAGATGCTATTAAGAACAATGTGACTCAGGCCGGGTGTAGTGGCTCACGCTTGTAATCCCAGCACTTTGGGAGGCTGAGGCGGGGTGGATCGCCTGAGGTCAGCAGTTCGAGACCAGCCTGGCCAACACAGTGAAACCCTGTCTCTACTAAAAATACAAAAAATTAGCTGAGCGTGGTGGCGGGCGTAATCTCAGCTACTTGGAAGGCTGAGGCAGGAAAATCATTTGAACCCAAGAGGCGGAAGTTGCAATGAGCCGAGACAGCTCCATTGCACTCCAGCCTGGGCAACAAGAGTGAAACTCCGTCTCAAACAAAACAAAACAAAAACAGTGTGACTCATGGAAGGAGGTGAAAATAGCAATAGTAAGAGGACTTTGAAAGAAGTTACATCCAACCGTCATGTATTACTGATGGATTCAAGACTTCAGTGGAGGAAGTAACTGCAGACGTGGTACAAATTAGTAAGGGAACTTCAATTAGAAGTAGAGCCTGATGATGTGACTGAATTGCTGAAATCTCATGATAAAACTGGAACCAAAGAGGAGTTGCCTCTACAGATAAGAAAGTGATTTCTTGAGATAGAATGTACTCCTGGTGAAGATGCTGTGAACATTGTTAAAATGAGAACAATGGATTTAGAATATTACATAAATTTAGTTCGTGAAGCAGTGGCAGGATCTAAAAGGACGGATACCAATTTTCAAAGACTATCTTGTGTGGGTAAAAGGCTATCGAACAGTGTCACATGCTAAAAGAAATCGTACAGGAAAGGAAGAGTCAATTGATGTGACAAACTTCAGTGTTATTTTAAGAAATCGCCACAGGCACCCCAACCTTCAGCAGCTAACACCTTGATCAGTCGGCAGCCACCAATATCGAGGCAAGATTCTCCACCACCAAGAAGATTACAATTTGTTGAAGGCTCAAATAATCATTAGCTTTTTTTTTTTTTTTTTGAGATGGAGTTTCACTCTTGTTGCCCAGGCTGGAGTGTAATGGCACTATCTCAGCTCACTGCAACCTCAGCCTCCTGGGTTCAAGCAATTCTCCTGCCTCAGCCTCCCAAGTAGCTGGGATTACAGGCACCCGCCACCACGCCTGGCTAATTTTTTGTATTTTTAGTAGAGACGTGGTTTCACCATGTTGCGCAGGCTGGTCTTGAACTCCTGACCTCAGGTGATTCACCCACCCCGGCCTCCCAAAGTGCTGGGATTACAGGTGTGAGCCACTGTGCCCGATCATTAGCATTTTTTTTTTTTAAAGCAATGAAGCATTTTCTAATTAAGACACGTGCATTTTTTAGACATGTTACTGCACACTTAATAGACCAGAGTATAGTGAAAACAGAACTTTTATATGTGACTTCTTTTATTGCAATATTTGCTTTATTGTGGTGGTATGGAAAAGAACCCATGCTGGGCCAGGTGCAGCGGCTCACACCTGTAATCCTAGCACTTTAGGAGACTGAGGTGGGAGGACTGCTTGAGCCCAGGAATTCAAGACCAGCCTGGGTTCCTAAAACAAAACCAAACCATAATGTCTCCAAGGTATGGCTGTACTTGATTTTGGTTTCTCCATCTAAAAAAATCTAATTCATCCAAGGAAGGAGTTGTAAGATACACATTTTAAAACAAGAATTTTGCATTCTCAGAGTAGTTGACAGCACTTTAAAGCACCAATGCACTCTAATTTGTTAAAATTTGGATAATAATATATACGAATACATATAATTAACGAGATGTAGTTCTTAAAAGTTCAAAGACACTTTAAAAATACGTAACTAAAATTTGCCAACTTCCTGAAGACCTCTCTGGAAGTTAGTTTTGTGGAAGGTAATATGAAATTCTGGCCCACAGGATGTCTAAGGTTTCTTCCAGCTCTAAGTTTGAGGGGAAAAAAAAGAACAATGGAGACACCCCCACACTAATCTTTATACCGGAAAGAAAGAGGCAGAGAGCTTATTTGAAGAAATAATGGCCAAAACTCCCCAACTTTGAGGGAAGACATGGATATATAAAAAGGTCAACAAACTCCACGTAGGATAAACTCAAAAGAGTCCTATGCTGAGTTACATTATAATCAAACTGCTGAAAGACAGAAACAAAGATAGCACTGTGAAAGTAGTGAGAGAAAACTGACTCATCATGCAGAAGGGATCCTCAATAATTGTTTTTTTCTTTTTGGATGGAGTCTCGTTCTGTCACCCAGTCTGGAGTGCAATGCTGCCATCTTGGCTTACTGCAACCTCTGCCTCCCGGGTTCAAGTGATTCTCCCGCCTCAGCCTCTGGAGTAGCTAGGACTACAGGCGCAAGCCACCACGCCCGGATAATTTTTGTATTTTTAGTAGAGATGGAGTTTCATCATGTTGGCCAGGCTAGTCTCGAACTCCTGACCTCAAGTGATCCTCCCACCTCGGCCTCCCACAGTGTTGGGATTACAGGTATGAGCCACAGTGCCTGGCCAGGATCCTCAATAAAATTATCAGTGAATTTCTCAGCAGAAACCTTGAAGGGAGTAGGGGAATATATTGAAGGGTTCGAAAAAAACACTGTCAACTGAGAATTCTGTATCTGGTAAACTGTCCTTCACAAACAAGAGAGAAATTAAGATATTCCCAGATAAACAAAAACTGAATGGTTCATTACCACTAGACCTACTCTATAAGAAATGCTAAAGGGGCTGGGAGCAGTGGCTCATGCCTGTAATCCCAGCACTTTCGGAGGCCAAGGTGGGTGGATCACGTAAGGTCAGGAGTTTGAGACCAGCCTGGCCAACATGGTGAAACCCCATCTCTACTAAAAATACAAAAATTAGTGAGGCATGGCTGGGCGTGGTGGCTCATGCCTGTAATCCCAGCACTTTGGGAGGCCAAGGTGGACGGATCACTTGAGGTCAGGAGTTCAAGACCAGCCTGGCAAACACGGTGAGACTCCATCTCTGCTAAAGATACAAAAATTAGTGGGGCATGGTGGTGCGTGCCTGTAGTCCCAGCTACTTGGAAGGCTGAGGCAGGAGAACAACTTGAAGCGACAGGGGGAGGATGCAGTGAGCCAAGATCTTGCCACTGCATTCCAGCCTGGAGTGAGACTCTGCTTCCAGGAAAAAAAAAAAAAAAAATTAGTCGGGCATGGTGGTAGATGCCTGTAATCCCAGCAACTAGCGAGGCTGAAGCAGGAGAATCGCCTGAACCCAGGAGGCAGACGTTGCAGTGAGCCGAGACTGCGTCACTGCACTCCAGCCTGGGCAACAAGAGCAAAACTCTGCCTCAAAAAAAAAAAGGAAAAAAAAGAAATGCTAAAGGGAGTCATTCAAGTTGAAATGAAAGGATGTTAGACACCAAATGAAAATATAAAGTTTTCTCTGATAAAGGTAAATATCAACATATGGACAAATATAAAAAATAGTATTACTATAATACTGGCTCACAACTCAACTTTAGAAGTAAATTGTGACTTTCAACCACATAAAGTGGGGAGTGGAGCTGTAAAGGAGTGGTTTTGGATCCAACTGAAATTAAATCTTATCAGTTTAAAATAGACTGTTATAATTGTAGGATGTTTTGTGTAATCTCCATGAAACACAGAGAAAAGAGTAAAAGGAAATGAGGAGGGAATAAAAAATGTCACTACAAAAAATCAACTAAACATAAATGAAGACCGTAATAGAGGAAATAAGGGACATAAAACTATAGGACATACAGAAACAAACAGCAAAATGACAATAATAAGTCCTTCCCTATCAGTAATTACTTTAAATGTGAATGGATTAAACTCTCTAATGAAAAGACACAAACTGGTAGAAAAAAAATGCAAAACACAACTACATGCTGTATAAGAGAGATTCACTTTAGATCTAAGGACACACATAGTTTGAAAGGGAAAAGATGAAAAAAGATATTTCATGCAAATAGAATATCAAGAAAGCAGAGATATCTTAATATCAGAAAAAATAGACTTTAACTCTACAACTGTTACAAGAGACAAAGATGGACATTATACAATAAATAAAGGGTCAATTTACCAATATGATGTAACATTTATAAACATACATGCACCAAACATGCTTCTTCAATATATACATTAAACACTGACAGAACTGAAGGGAGAAACAGACAGCTCTACAGTAACAGTTGGAGACTTCAATATCTCACTTTCAATAAGGAGAGAGAGGACTTGAACAACACTTTAGATCAACTGGACCTAACAGATATATACAGAACACTCCACCCAACAATAGCAGAATACACATTTTCTCAAGTACATATCTAATGTTCTCCAAGACAGAACATACTTTAGGCCATAGAACAACTCTTAATGAATTTTAAAAAATTGAAATCATAAAAATATCTCTTCCAGCCAGGTGCGGTGGCTCATGCCTGTAATCCCAACACTTTGGGAGGCCGAGATGGGCAGGTCCCTTGAGATCAGGAGTTCGAGACCAGCCTGGCCAACATGGTGAAACCCCGTCTCTACTAAAAATACAAAAATGACACGGGCGTGGTGGTGGGCGCCTATAGTCCCAGCTACTTGTGAGGCTGAGGCAGGAGAATTGCTTGAACCCGGGAGGCAGAGGTTGCAGTGAGCTGAGATCGCGCCATTGCACCCCAGCCTGGGTGGCAGAACGAGGCTCTATCTCAAAATAAAAATAATAAATAAATTTATCTCTTCCAATTAAAACAGAATAAAACTAAAAATTAACAGCAGAAGCAAAACTAGACGACCTACAAATAGGTGGAAATTAAATATCACGCTCAACCAATTGGTCAAAGAAAAATCACAAAGAAAATTAGAAAATATCTTGAAACAAATGAAAATGGAAACACAGCATTACCAAAACTAACGGGATATAGCAGCAAAAGCTGTGCTGAGATAAACTTCTAACTATAAATACTTAAAAAAGAAGAGCTCAAATCAACAACCTAACTTTACACTGTAAAGGACCTAAAAAAAGAAAAGCAAGCTAAACTCAAAGCTAGCAGAAAGAAATGAATAATAAAAATTGGAGCAGAGACAACACAGAGAATAGAAAAATAGAGAAAATCAATAGAACCAAGAGTTTGTTCTTTGAAAAGATCAACAAAATTGACATTCCTAGATGGGCTAAGAAAACAAGACTCAATAACTAAAATCAGAAATGAAAGAGGAGACATTACTAGTAATTTCACAGAAATAAAAAGGATTGTTAACACAGTGCTATGAACAATTATACATCAACAAACTGAATAATATAAATGAGAAGAACAAATTCTGAGAAACACAAGTCATGGAGACTGAATCACAAAAACAAAGAAAATCTGAATTGACTCATAACTAATAAAGAGATTGAATCTGTAATCAAAAACCTTCCAACAGTGCTCACTTTAGCAGCACATATACTAAAACTAGAAAGATACAGGGAAGGTTAGCATGGCCCCTGTGCAAGGATAACATGCAAATTCTTGTGGCATTCCATATTTTTAATTTTTTTTTTTTTTTTTTTTGAGACAGAGTCTCGCTTTGTGGCCCAGGCTGGAGTGCAGTGGTGTAATCTCGGCTCACTGCAACCTCCACATCCCAGGTTCAAGAGATTCTCCTATCTCAGTCTCCTGAGTAGCTGGGATGACAGGCGCCCACCACCACGCCTGGCTCATTTTTGTATTTTTAGTAGAGATGGGGTTTCACCATGTTGGCCAGGCTGGTTTTGAACTCCTGACCTCAAGTGATCCACCCGCCTCAGCCTCCCAAAGTGCTGGGATTACAGGCGTGAGCCACTGTGCCCGGCCACCATTATTTTTAAAATTAACAAAACAAAACACCTCCCAACAAAGAAAAGCTCACGATTACATGACTTCACGGGTGAATTCTACCAAACATTTAAAGTATAATCAAAACCAGTCTCCCTCAAACTCTTCCAAAAAATTGAAGAGGCAGGAACAATTCCATACTCATTCTGTGAAGCCAGTATTACTCTGCTATCAAAGCCAGATGAAGACATATAGATGAGAAAAGAAAACTATAGATCAATATCCTTTATGAATATTTTTGTAAAAATCCTCAACAGAATTCAACAGCACATTAAAGGGATTATACACCATGTCCAAGTGGGATTTATTCCTGGAATATAAGAATGGTTCAACATACAAAAATCATTCAATGTAATACACCACATTAACAGAATGAGGGGAAAAATACAACACCAATCATTTCAATGGATGCAAAAAAAGTATTTGACAGAATTCAAAACCCTTTCATGATAAAAACACTCAACAAGCTAAGAACAGAAGGAAAACTACCTCAACTTAATAAAGGCTATATATGAAAAGCCAACAGTGAATATCACATTCAATCTTGAGAGGCTGAAACCATTTCTCTACAATAAGGAACAAGACAAGGATGCGTGCTCTTACCATTTCTACCACTTCTATTCAATATAGCAGCAGTTCTCAACCTTTCTGGCACCAGGGACCGGTTTTGTGGAAGACAATTTTTTTAGGACTTGGGGGTGGGATGAGGGGAATGATTTCAGGATGAAACTGTTCCACCTCAGATCATCAGGTGTTAGATTCTCATAAGGAGTGCACAACCTAGATCCCTCACATGTGCAGTTCACAATAAGGTTCAAGCTCCTATGAGAATCTAATGCTGCTGCTGATCTGACAGGAAGCGGAGCTCAGGCATTAGGTACTGCTCACTTGCCCATCACTCACCTCCTCCTGTGCAGCCTGGTTCCTAACAGGCCACAGACTGGTACTGGTCCGTGGCCCAGGGTTTGGGGATCCCTGCAATATAGTAGTGGAAGTCCTAGCCAAAGCACTTAGGCAAGAAAAAGAAATAAAAGGCATCCAGATTCAAAACAAAGAAATAAAATCTGTTTGCAAATAACATGCTCTTATATGTAGAAAACCCTAAAGATTCCACCAAAAAACAATTAGAACTAATAGTTGAATTTGGCACAGTAGCAGGATACAAAAATCAACATATGAAAATCAGTCATATTTCTATATACCAACAATGAACAATCTGGAAAGGAAATTAAGAAAACAATTCCATTTACAACAGCATCAAAAAGAATGAAATACTTGGGAATTAACCAAGGAGGACTTGTATACTGACAATACAATACATTCTGAAAGAAATTAAAGACACAAACAAATGGAAAGACATCCCATGTTCACAGATTAGAAGACTTAATATTTTTAAGTTGGTAATATTACCCAAAGATATCTACAGATTCAATGCAATCCCTATCAAAAATCCTAATGACTTTTTCTTTTGGCAGAAATAGAAAAATTCATCCTAAAATTCATATGGAATCTCAAGGAACCTGAATAGCCAAAGCAGTCTTTTTCTTTTTCTTTCTTTCTTTTTTTTTTTTTTTTTTTTGAGACAGGGTCTGGTTCTGTCACCCAGGCTACAGTGCAGTGGCATGATCTTGGCTCACTGTAATCTCTGCCTCCTCGGCTCAAGTGATCCTCCCACCTCAGCTTCCCAAGTAGCTGGGAGTACAGGTGCATGCCACTATGCCTGGCTAATTTTTGCATTTTTTTGTAGAGACAGAGTCTCACTATGTTGCCCAGGCTGGTCTTGAACTCCTGAACTCAGTCATTGGCCAGGCTGGTCTTGAACTCCTGAGCTCAGGCGATCCACCCACCTTGACCTCCCAAAGTGCTGGGATTACATGCATGAGCCACTGTGCCCAGCCCAAAGCAGTCTTAAAAAGGAACAACAAAGTTGGTAGTCAAACTTTCTGATTTCAAATCTTATTTCAAAGCTATAGTAATTAAAACAGTGAGGAACTGCATAAATACAAACCATATAGATCAATGGAACAGAATACAGAATCCAGAAATAAACCCTCACATATATGGTCAAATGATTTTCAAGAAACGTGCCAAGAACAAACAATGGAAAAAGGACGGTCTTCACAAGAAAAGATGATGGGAAAACTGAATATCCACATGCAAATGAATGAAGTTGGACTCTTACCTCACACAATATACAAAAATTAACTCAAAATGGATTAAATACCTAAATGTAAGAGCTAAAACTATAAAACTTATCGGGGAAATGCTTCCTGATATTGGATTTAGCAACGCTTTCTTGGTTATAACACTAAAAGCAAAGGCAACAACAACACAATAGATAAAATGAGCTACATCAAAATTAAAAACTTTTGTTCACCAACGGACAGTACTAACAGAATGAAAAGGTAACCCACAGGATGGGAGAAAATATTTGCAAATCATTTATCTGATAAGGGGTTAATATCTAGGATATATAAAAAATTCAACAAAAACAACCTGATTTAGAAATGGGCAGAGGACTTGAATAGGTATTTCTCCATAGAAGATATACAAATAGCCAATAAGCATATAAAAAAAGGCACTACATACTAATCATTAGGGAAATACAAATCAAAGCAATAAGATACCACTTCACACCCATTAGGATGCCTATAAAACAGAAAGTAGTAAGGGTTGGCAAAGATGTGGAAATACTGGAACCACTGTGAATTGTTGGCTGGTGTATAAAATGGTATGGCTGCTGTGGAGAATAGTATGATCATTTCTCAAAAAACTAAAAACAGCATTACCATATGATCCAGCAATTCTACTTTTAGAATTATACCCAAAAGAACTGAAAGCAGGGACTCAGATATCTGTACCCTCACATTCACAGTAGCATTATGCACACAAACAAAATGTGACGGCAACTAAGTGTCCATTAATGAATGAACAAATAAACAAAATGCAGTATATACATATAATAGAATATTATCAAGTCTGAAAAAGGTAAAAAATTCAATACATTATACCATATGGATGAACCTTGAGGACATTATGGTAAATGAAATAAGTCAATCACCAAAATATGAATTTTTTTTATGATTCCACTTATATGAAGTATGCAGAGTAGTAATGATGGTTGTTAGGGTTTGGTGAGAGGGAGGATAGGGAGTTATTATTTAATGGATACAGAATTTCAGTTCTGGAATATGAAAAAAGTTCTTGAGATGGATGGTGGTGATGATTGCACAACAATGTGAATGTACTTAATGCTCGTGAACTGTACATTTAAAAAAGGTTAAAATGCCAAACTTTATGTTATGTATATTTTACCACAATTTAAAAAAACTACTTATCATAACAAAATAAATAATGTCTACCCACTAGACTCCCATTACATGTTCTCTGAGAAGAGCAGCTGGCTCATTTTTTCATTCAATAACATACGCCCAGGCATATTTTCAGGTTCTTGGGTTATATCAGTGAAAACAAAGATCTCAATTCCTTCTGGAGCTTAATTTCTAATAGGATGAAAAGGAAACAGATAAGAGAAAAGTAAAGTAATTTATATAATAAGATGGAAAGTAAGTGACAATGAAAGAAGAAAAGTAGAGAATAGTAATGTGGGAGCACTGAGCTGGGTAGTGGTACTTGTAAATGTCAGACAGAGTGGCCTGAATAAGCTTCACTGAGAAGGTGATATCTGAATTAAGATTTGTCAGCGGTCAGCAGCATTTGCGGTTCAAGAAAATCCGCTGTTCTGCAGCCACCGCTGCTGATACCCAGGCAAACAGGGTCTGGAGTGGACCTCTAGCAAACTCCAACAGACCTGCAGCTGAGGGTCCTGTCTGTTAGAAGGAAAACTAACAAACAGAAAGGACATCCACACCAAAAACTCATCTGTACATCACCATCATCAAAGACCAAAAGTCGAGAACTACGTGAAGAATGCAGAAGCCTCAGCAGCCAATGCGATCAACTGGAAGAAAGGGTATCAGTGATGGAAGATGAAATGAATGAAATGAAGCAAGAAGGGAAGTTTAGAGAAAAAAGAATAAAAAGAAACGAACAAAGCCTCCAAGAAATATGGGACTATGTGAAAAGACCAAATCTACATCTGATTGGTGTACCTGAAAGTGACAGGGAGAATGGAACCAAGTTGGAAAACACTCTGCAGGATATTATCCAGGAGAACTTCCCCAATCTAGCAAGGCAGGCCAACATTCAGATTCAGGAAATACAGAGAACGACACAAAGATACTCCTCGAGAAGAGCAACTCCAAGACACTTAATTATCAGATTCACCAAAGTTGAAATGAAGGAAAAAAGGTTAAGGGCAGCCAGAGAGAAAGGTCGGGTTACCCACAAAGGGAAGCCCATCAGACTAACAGCGGATCTCTTGGCAGAAACTCCACAAGCCAGAAGAGAGTGGGGGCCAATGTTCAACATTCTTAAAGAAAAGAATTTTCAACCCAGAATTTCATATCCAGCCAAACTAAGCTTCATAAGTGAAGGAGAAATAAAATACTTTACAGACAAGCAAATGCTGAGAGATTTTGTCACCACCAGACCTGCCCTAAAAGAGCTCCTGAAGGAAGCACTAAACATGGAAAGGAACAACCAGTACCAGCCACTGCAAAATCATGCCAAATTGTAAAGACCATCGAGACTAGGAAGAAACTGCATCAACTAATGAGCAAAATCACCAGCTAACATCATAACGACAGGATCAAATTCACACATAACAATATTAACTTTAAATGTAAATGGACTAAATGCTCCAATTAAAAGACACAGACTGGCAAGTTGGATAAAGAGTCAAGACCCATTAGTGTGCTGTATTCAGGAAACCCATCTCACGTGCAGAGACACACATAGGCTCAAAATAGAAGGATGGAGGAAGATCTACCAAGCAAATGGAAAACAAAAAAAGGCAGGGGTTGCAATCTTAGTCTCTGATAAAACAGACTTTAAACCAACAAAGATCAAAAGAGACAAAGAAGGCCATTACATAATGGTAAAGGGATCAATTCAACAAGAAGAGCTAACTATCCTAAGTATATATGCACCCAATACAGGAGCACCCAGATTCATAAAGCAAGTCCTTAGAGACCTACAAAGAGACTTAGACTCCCACACAATAATAATGGGAGACTTTAACACCCCACTGTTAACATTAGACAGATCAATGAGACAGAAAGTTAAAAAGGATATCCAGGAATTGAACTCAGCTCTGCACCAAGCAGACCTAATAGACATCTACAGAACTCTCCACCACAAATCAACAGAATATACATTATTTTCAGCACCACACCACACCTATTCCAAAATTGACCATGTAGTTGGAAGTAAAGCTCTCCTCAGCAAATGTAAAAGAACAGAAATTATAACAAACTGTCTCTCAGACCACAGTGCAATCAAACTAGAACTCAGGATTAAGAAACTCACTCAAAACCACTCAACTACATGGAAACTGAACAACCTGCTCCTGAATGACTACTGGGTACATAACGAAATGAAGGCAGAAATAAAGATCTTCTTTGAAACCAACGAGCACAAAGACACAACATACCAGAATCTCTGGGACACATTCAAAGCAGTGTGTAGAGGGAAATTTATAGCACTAAATGCCCACAAGACAAAGCAGGAAAGATCCAAAATTGACACCCTAACATCACAATTAAAAGAATTAGAAAAGCAAGAGCAAACACATTCAAAAGCTAGCAGAAGGCAAGAAATAACTAAAATCAGAGCAGAACTGAAGGAAACAGACAAAAAAGCCCTTCAAAATATTAATGAATCCAGGAGCTGGTTTTTTGAAAGGATCAACGAAATTGATAGACCGCTAGCAAGACTAATAAAGAAAAAAAGAGAGAAGAATCAAATAGACGCAATAAAAACTGATAAAGGGGATATCACCACCGATCCCACAGAAATACAAACTACCATCAGAGAATACTACAAACACCTCTATGCAAATAAACTAGAAAATCTAGAAGAAATGGATAAATTCCTCGACACATACACCCTCCCAAGACTAAACCAGGAAGAAGTTGACTCTCTGAATAGACCAATAACAGACTCTGAAATTGTGGCAATAATCAATAGCTTACCAACCAAAAAGAGTCCAGGACCAGATGGATTCACAGCCGAATTCTACCAGAGGTACAAGGAGGAACTGGTACCATTCCTTCTGAAACTATTCCAATCAACAGAAAAAGAGGGAATCCTCCCTAACTCATTTTATGAGGCCAGCATCATCCTGATACCAAAGCCAGGCAGAGATGCAACCAAAAAAGAGAATTTTAGACCAATATCCTTGATGAACATTGATGCAAAAATCCTCAATCAAATACTGGCAAACCGAATCCAGCAGCACATCAAAAAGCTTATCCACCATGATCAAGTGGGCTTCATCCCTGGGATGCAAGGCTGGTTCAATATATGCCAATCAATAAATGTAATCCAGCATATAAACAGAACCAAAGACAAAAACCACATGATTATCTCAATAGATGCAGAAAAGGCCTTTGACAAAATTCAACAACCCTTCATGCTAAAAATTCTCAATAAATTAGGTATTGATGGGACGTATCTCAAAATAATAAGAGCTATCTATGACAAACCCACAGCCAATATCATACTGAATGGGCAAAAACTGCAAGCATTCCCCTTGAAAACTGGCACAAGACAGGGATGCCCTCTCTCACCACTCCTATTCAACACAGTGTTGGAAGTTCTGGCCAGGGCCATTAGGCAGGAGAAGGAAATAAAGGGTATTCAATTAGGAAAAGAGGAAATCAAATTGTCCCTGTTTGCAGATGACATGATTATATATCTAGAAAACCCCACTGTCTCAGCCCAAAATCTCCTTAAGCTGATAAGCAACTTCAGCAAAGTCTCAGGATACAAAATCAATGTATAAAAATCACAAGCATTCTTATACACCAATAACAGACAGAGAGCCAAATCATGAGTGAACTCTCATTCACAATTGCTTCAAAGAGAATAAAATACCTAGGAATCCAACTTACAAGGGACATGAGGGACCTCTTCAAGGAGAACTACAAACCACTGCTCAATGAAATAAAAGAGGATACAAACAAATGGAAGAACATTCCATGTTCATGGGTAGGAAGAATCAATATCGTGAAAATGGCCATACTGCCCAAGGTAATTTATAGATTCAATGCCATCCCCATCAAGCTACCAATGACTTTCTTCACAGAATTGGAAAAAACTACTTTAAAATTCATATGGAACCAAAAAAGAGCCTGCATCGCCAAGTCAATCCTAAGCCAAAAGAACAAAGCTGGCAGCATCAAATACCTGACTTCAAACTATACTACAAGGCTACAGTAACCAAAACAGCATGGTACTGGTACCAAAACAGAGATATAGATCAATGGAACAGAACAGAGCCCTTAGAAATAACGCCGCATATCTACAACTATCTGATCTTTGACAAACCTGAGAAAAACAAGCAATGAGGAAAGGATTCCCTATTTAATAAATGGTGCTGGGAAAACTGGCTAGCCATATGTAGAAAGCTGAAACTGGATCCCTTCCTTACACCTTATACAAAAATTAATTCAAGATGGATTAAAGACTTAAACGTTAGACCTAAAACCATAAAAACCCTAGAAGAAAACCTAGGCATCACCATTCAGGACATAGGCATGGGCAAGGACTTCATGTCTAAAACACCAAAAGCAATGACAACAGAAGCCAAAATTGACAAATGGGATCTCATTAAACTAAAGAGCTTCTGCACAGCAAAAGAAACTACCATCAGAGTGAACAGGCAACCTACAAAATGGGAGAAAATTTTTGCAACCTACTCATCTGACAAAGGGCTAATATCCAGAATCTACAATGAACTCAAACAAATTTACAAGAAAAAAAAAACAACCCCATCAAAAAGTGGATGAAGGATATGAACAGACACTTCTCCAAAGAAGACATTTATGCAGCCAACAGACACGTGAAAAAATGCTCATCATCACTGGCCATCAGAGAAATGCAAATCAAAACCACAATGAGATACCATCTCACACCAGTTAGAATGGCAATCATTAAAAAGTCAGGAAACAACAGGTGCTGGAGAGGATATGGAGAAACAGGAACATTTTTACACTGTTGGTGGGACTGTCAACTAGTTCAACCATGTGGAATTCAGTGTGGCAATTCCTCAGGGATCTAGAACTAGAAATACCATTTGACCCAGCCATCCCATTACTGGGTATATACCCAAAGGACTATAAATCATGCTGCTATAAAGACACATGCACACGTATATTTATTGCAGCACTATTCACAATAGCAAAGACTTGGAACCAACCCAAATGTCCATCAATGATAGACTGGATTAAGAAAATGTGGCACATATACACCATGGAATACTATGGAGCCATAAAAAATGATGAGTTCATGTCCTTTGTAGGGACATGGATGAAACTGGAAATCATCATTCTCAGTAAACTATCACAAGGACAAAAAACCAAACACCGCATGTTCTCACTCATAGGTGGGAATTGAACAATGAGAACACATGGACACAGGAAGGGGAACATCACACACCATGGCCTTTCGTGGGTTGGGGGGAAGGGGGAGGGATAGCATTAGGAGATATACCTAATGCTAAATGACGAGTTAATGGGTGCAGCACACCAGCATGGCACATGTATACATATGTAACTAACCTGCACATTGTGCACATGTACCCTAAAACTTTAATAAAATAAAATAAAATAAAATAAAATAAAATAAAATAAAAGATTTGTCAGAGGTAGTAGAGATTATCATGTGAACATACGGAGAAGGATCATCCCAGGAAGAGGGAACAGCTAGTGCAAAGGGCCAAAGAACATGGGTCTGTTGTTTGAGCAGCAGCAAGAAGACCAGTGTGGCTGGAGCAGAGTGAGTAATGGGAATAATGATGAGATATTGTTAGAAAAGTGCAGGCCACTGTAAGGCTTTTACTGGATATAATTTGAAGGTAGAGTCAATAAGATTTCCTGACAGATTAGAGACAGAGGAAGAGCAAAAGAAGAACCAAGGATGATTCTAAGATTTTAGGCCTGGACAACATTAAAGATGAACCATGAAGATGTCGAAGGTGCCAAGAAAAGCAGGTTTAGGAAGGAAAAATAGCTGCTTTGTGTTAGACTTATGCATTAGATATATCTATCAGACATTCAAGTGGAGATGCCAAATAAATAGCTGGAAAAATGAGCCTGGGGTTCAGGAAAGAGATGTGACTAGAGATATAGATCAGTGTATCAGTAGTATTTGAAGCCACAGATGAGTTCCCCCAAGGGAGTACAGATAAAAAAGAAAAGAGGTCCAAGGACTAAGACTTGGGACAACACAATATTAAGAGGTTGAGAAAAAGAGGAAATATCAACAAAGGAGATTAAAGAAAGAATGACCAAAGAGGCAGGTGGAAAACCAGAGACCTCATTTGAATTGGATACATCTAATACTACTACTTTAACCTTCTGAAAACTGTTTCATCTCTCCATGCCTGGATTTTCCTTGTCTGTATAATAAACATAATACAAATAATCTAACGTAGTTGTTGTGAGAATTAAATGGGACCAAGTAGAGAAAAATGATTAGCATGTTGACTGCTGGAACTCTGCAAGTGTTCAATAAATAGTAGCCATTATTATTACAATTAATGATAAATCTTTGCACCCTCCTAGGCTATTATCATCATTTATTCTACCACTTTACAGGAAATGAATTAGGAACTGGAATTTAAGCAGAAGATCAACAGAGGTATTAGAAATCTTTAATGTAACACTGTAACCTACCACTTCAGCCTTGACTATTCCTCTATCTTGCAAAAAAAAGAGAAATAGCTCTTGCAAAAATGTGTTAGTTTTTCCTTGAATATGCCCTATATGTTCTGCCTCCATTCCTTGTTCACATTGTTCTTTTTGCTCCACATAATCTCTTTCCATATTTACCTGCTAAAATACTAGCCCATGCTTTCAAGGCATACCACAAAAGCCACATTCCACTTTGATATCATTAATGATTTATCCTTAACGTGATCTCCCCTTCCTTTAATCTCTGCTGGTTTAATTAACTCTTATGGCACTTACCATTTCCTTGGTGTGGGCAATCATAAACGTATTAACCTTTCATTTTATTCTCTTAGGTTATCCTTTTTAATTCTATAGTACCCCTAGCAATATAATCAGCTTAATAATGAGGGTATAAAAAGAGCACATGTACTTAAAAAATATGTAATTTAACCACTGTTAATACAATAAGCCTTTTAGAAGTCTCACTTGCTCTCATTCTAAGTTTCTATTTAAATCAATATCCAGCCTACATTAAATCTTATTTTCTACATATCTCCTTTTTGTATTCCTCACTCTTGCTACTCATGTTGGGAGTTAATTTCCAACCCGAAAACAATGCACTCTGCTAAATCTCATCTTGTTACAATTTGTTCATTATAAGAAACCCAACCTGTTTTTTAGAGCCAGCCTTTTTTTTGGAGACAGAGTCTCACTCTGTTGCCCAGGCTGGCGTGCAATGGCACAATCTCAGCTCATTGCAACCTCCGCCTTCTGGCAATTCTCCTGCCTCAGCCTCCCAAGTAGCTGGGATTATAGGCACCCACCACCATACCTGGCTAATTTTTGCATTTTTAGTGGAGACGGGGTTTCACCATGTTGGCCAGGCTGGTCTCGACCTCAAGTGATCTACCTGCCTTGGTTTCCCAAAATGCTGGGATTACAGGCGTGAGCCACCGGGCCCAGGCTCCTGTAAAGGCATTTCTACTATTCTTTTTCTATGTTCATAATCCTTAATTAGTCACAATTAATACATCTGTATACTGAACAACTCACTCTGTATTCACCTAGAAAAATAAAGCGATCTATTTTCAGCATAATATTAGAGTATTTACACATTTGAGTTTACTTTCCTCAAATTTTCTGCTCTCCCATCCCAAATGATAGCTGGTCTGTTTATCTGTTTTGTTTTAAATGAACAGTAGAAAAGAAGCAGAGTTACTTTGTTGAAAAAGCTTTTTGTCAGACCTAATATTGAATCTTGGCTTTACCTGGTTCAAATCTATTAAACTGTACGATCTTGATGAACACTGCTTAATATTCTGGTCCTCAGTTTATGTTTAAAATGAGATTACTATTTAAAAAGTTATTAAAAGAATAAATAAAAAATTTTATACCATAAATGAAGTATGAAGACTGGATGCTAAAATAACATTTAGCTTTTCTCTGTATTATTAACAGAACCCATTTGTATTTGTAAAGCAATTTTCATTTTCTACTGGAAGCCACTAATCTTTTAACTTAGACCAAGATCCGTAACAGTCAATGCTGACTTTGAAGCTGCCAAGCAACACAGCATTTTATAAAGCAAAACATTTTTATTGGTTTACTGATACTGGGTAGAGTTCATATTCTAGTGTAATATTCAACATGAATAATAAATGAAAGAATGAAAGATAAGTAGAAAGTGATATACAAATGCTTATTATTGGTAAATTACTATTGGATATAATTATGCAATAATTTTAAAGCTATAAATAACAGGACAAATATATTTAGAGACAAAGAAAAAAGAATCTTAAAAAAAATGTTTAATGTTCAATGAAGTTGATAAATTATTTATTTACCTGAATCGCTTGCTGCAACAACTGTTCCACCAGGAGCAAAAGGATCATTGTGCTTCAACGTTTCTACCTAAACAAAGCATACAAAACCATGAATGAGAGAGGCAACACTTCACAGCTGAAACCTCATCACCACTCCAAAGAATATATTCTTTACAAATTCTTAATTAATTAAGGAATATAGACATTAGGAACAAATGTTTCCCCATAGTGATCTGCAATCTTACTAACTGGAAATAATACATATTATTTTCTAATCTTAACTGTGAAATATAACATCTATTCAGAAAAGTACATGAAACAGATCTATGGTTTAACAAGTAAGTATCAAGTGAACACTTGTGTAGTCATCTCCCAGGAAACTGCCAATACCTCAGAAGTCTTCATGTGTCCCTCTATAATCACAATCCTGACTTTGGTGATATTCGTTTATTTTTTTCTTCATAATCTTGCTAGTTGTATAGATGTACACTGTTTTAACTTTTTACTTATTTTTTAGAGACAGGGTCTTGCTCTGTCACCCCAGCTGGAATGCAGTGGTGTGATCACAGCTTACTGTAACCTCAAACTCCTGGGCTCAAGTGATCCTCCTGCCTCTCTCCTGCCTTAGCCTCCTGAATAGCTGGGACCGCAGGTGTATGCCACCATACCTGGGTAATTTTTGTTATTATTTGTATAGATAGGGTCTTGCTATGTTTTCCTCAAATCCTGGCCTCAAGAAATCCTCCCACCTTGGCCTCTGAAAGCACTGGGATTTTAGGTGGCAGCCACCACTAACCTTTTATCTTGGAATAATTTACATTTACATAAGAGTTGTAAAGATAGTACAGAGTTCCCATGCACTTTTCACCCAGTTTCCCCTAATGTTAATATCTCACATAATTATAGTACATCTATTAAAACTAAGAACACTGGTACAAAACTATAAACCATAGATTTTATTAGATTTCACCAGTTTTTCCATTAATGTCCTTTTTCGATTCCAGAATATCATTTTACGTTTAGAATGCACACACTATTTTAATTCTCAAATATCCTAGTACTTAATATCATAAAATGTTACATTTCTATTTTCTAATTGTTATCTAAAAATCATTCTGCATTCTGACCCTCAGAGAGAAAACACATATACACACATACACACATACACACACACACACACATATACACAAAGATAGCTTTTTGCTAAGATCCTGCTTTCAACAATAAGCTATGTAAAAGTCTGGGATCAAGAGCAACTGATCTTGCTAAAGGTGAGGATGTTACCAGATGCCAGCGATTCTGGCTTTTAACTGTCTTCCTACTTTATACTTTAGTTTTTAATCATAGTCAAACAAATTGTATATCTAGGAAGATAACTGAGTTTCCTCTTTCTGGCACCAGGCTCTTTTTAAGGGGCTAGATGAAAGACTTGGCAAACAGGTAAAAAGAGTGTGAAAAGAGTTTCTGAACATTTATATGCAACTCTGATGCATGATTATCAATGTCATTTGTATTACAGACTCTATTTCCAATTATCAAGAAGTTGGATATTACAAATAAATGTCAAATAATACTGCCAGAGCTAATGTATAAATCTCCAAGTTAAAAAAATTAATTGTAGAGAAAGGTAATGTTAACTGGGACTAACCTTCTCTCTTTATAAAAGAGAGTCCATTAAAACTACTAGCAGAAAGAATTAATACTAATGAAGTTTTTAGAAATGAAAACTATGAATGATAAAAAGTAATGATAGTATTAACTGAGGCCAATTATACTATTATACAACTAGCACACTAACTTAGATATCTGCAGAATAAACAGCAATTAAAGAAAAACTTAAACTGGTCTATATAGCGAGATAACTTTCCATGTTTCCTAATATGATAGTCATAACTCCAGTGTAAGAGAAGGTCACTGACATAACAAGTCACCAAGTACAGGCTGAGCATCCTTATCTGAAATGCTTGGGACAAAAAGTATTTTGGATGTTGGGTTTTTTTTCAGATTTTGGAATATTTGTGTTATACTTACCAAGTGAACATCCATAATCTGAAAACGTGAAATGCTCCAAAGTCTGAAACCTTTTGAGTGCTGACATGATACTCAGGAAATGCTCACTGGCACATTTCGGATTTGGGGTGCTCAACCTGTATTATTACTTCTTCTCTTTGAGAGAAGAAAAAACTAACAGGCTGTGTTTTAAACAACAGCTTGCAGATTTGATTTGCCATCACAAGGAGAAAGGGAAAGGGCATAACCACATGTGTGTCAGGTTTAGTTTCTAGTCCTTCATCATATACTGTGCAACCACCCTAAAAGGCCATCAGGATAGCAGGGGGAACAGGATAGATTGTGCAGCCCATGAAGGAATAAGGGGCCACAAAACTCTATGTCAGTTTGATAATTGGGGAGTTTAGCAGGGCAATTTTTTAAAAATTTCCAGATTGTATTGGTGAAAATCTTAGATTTTGGCTTGAGTCAAGTTCTACCAGTTACTAACTTACTACCAACTTAATCTATCTTTTTTTTTTTTTAAATTGAGACAAGATCTCACTCTGTCACCCAAGCTGGAGTGCTGTGGTACAATCATGGCTCACTGCTGCCTTGACTTCCTGAGCTCACACAATCCTACCACCTCAGTCTCTCGAGTAGCTGGGATTACAGGTGCATGCTATTACACCTCTAATATTTTAATTTTTTTGTAGAGACAGTGTCTCACTTTGTTGCCCAGGCTGGTTGTGAACTACTTGCCTCAAGTGATCCTCCTGCCTTGGCCTCCTGAAGTGCTGGAATTAGAGGTGGGAGCCACCACACCTGGCCTCAACTTAACCTACGTAAACCTCATAGGATTACTGTGAAAAGTAAATGAGACAATGCATATAAAGAGCTTGGCACCATCCCTGGCACACAGAGGAAATTAGATAAACTGCAGCTATTATTATATTGCCAATCTGGTTTTTTGTTTTGAATGGTGAAATTACAAGCTGTAAAGCAAGGACAATATTCCTTTAGAAAACTGGGAATAAAAGTCAGTAAAACAAATGGTAGAAAAATCTCATGGGGGACAGGACAAGAGGAATGTATTCATTTTTAAATTAGAAGAGCTAATTTAGCTTTCTTGCTCTTTAGATGATAGGAGAATGAGAGGCTAGAATAAGAAGGTGAGAGGAGAAGAATTCCAGTAGCAGCAATTTTAGAAGAATTTGGCAAATGGGTCCACATTGCAAACTAAGTGCTATAGGAAAACAGAGTATCCAGCAGCCCAGGGAAACGAAAAATATTCAGTCACGAAGGTATCTGTCCAGTTTTTATTCAATGGAAAACACCAGTTCTTAGCCAAGCAGCTCTTTACTGAATACAAAAAAGAAGCAACTTTCAATAATACAAAACCTATTATCTTTAAAATAATCAATTACATTTTAAAGGAAATATTCTTAATCTAATAGTACTAGAAGACAAATTTTTTGCTTCAAATGCTTCTCAGTTAACTGGTCCTTTATAGGTTCAGTTTACCTACAGACATGAAACTGTGGTCTCAAAAACGAAGTCTCAAAATACAAATTAAAAAGCAAAACCAAAAACCTGCAAAACCATTCCTAACTATTGAAATTGGGTAATGGATGCATGGAAGCTTGTTAAAATATTTCATTACATTATTCTCCTTTGAGTATTTCTAAATATCCACAAGATGAAGATTTTTTTTTTTTTTTTTGAGACGGAGTCTCGCTCTGTCACCCAGGCTGGAGTGCAGTGGCGCGATCTCGGCTCACTGCAAGCTCCGCCTCCCGGGTTCACGCCATTCTCCTGCCTCAGCCTCCTGAGTAGCTGGGACTATAGGCACCCACCACCGCGCCTGGCTAATTTTTTGTATTTTTAGTAGAGACGAGTTTTCACCGTGTTAGCCAGGATGGTCTCGATCTCCTGACCTCGTGATCCGCCCACCTCAGCCTCCCAAAGTGCTGGGATTACAGGCGTGAGCCACCGCGCCCAGCCATGAAGATTTTTTTAAAGCCTCCAGATAAAACAGCAACTAGCTATAGGACCTTAAACATGTTAATTTTTCTAAGTCCCAGTGTCCTCATTTTTAAAATAGGGATATCAACACCTACTTTGCAAAATTGATGTGAAGATTAGAAACAATGAATGTAAAGCACACACCAGTACCTGGATCAGGCATGTGGTTATTAAACAGTGATTGCTGTAGGTATGTACATTCTCAAGAGAGCTTGACATTTAGTGAGAATTTGTACTTTGCAGAATTAACATTCCAGATGTGTCTATGAAATAACATAAACGATTTTATTTTTCTAAAATTCTTTTAATTTTCATTATTTCAATAATATACCAAACATTTCAGAAAAGTTTTATGTAAGATTGGCTTATAAATTTCCAATCATTTTTAGTATCCTCAATAGGATAAGATTTAGTCTCTTGAAAGATGAACATCACTTTTGGACTCCGTTCAGTCATTCCAGTTAATTCCAGTGGGTAATCAAACTATGAAATACCAGTCTGAACCAAAAACTAAATGAATTGGGATGAGACTGAAATTCTTATATGGTCCATTAGAAGTAATCTAAATGAGGGTTCTTTCATCACTATGTATTTCAAGAAACTTGCTTAGGACACTTATTATCCATTTAACTTAACAGTTTTTAATTCTCCCACTTACCGATGTAATACTGCTATTGTTGGCTGCACTGAAAGGGTCAGTGCTTGAAGTGGCAAAAGGATCAGTAGATTGCCTGAAGAAACAGTCTGATGCAAATGGATCTGAACCTTTGAAAGGATCACCACCAAATGGATCTAAAAAAATAAGGCACGAATATAAGAGACAAAAAAAAATTATTGCACTAAATTTCCCATCACTTGAAGGTATGATCAGTGCCTTAATTAAAAGACAGTCTGGGGCCAGGTGCAGTGGCTCACGTCTGCATTCCCACCACTTTGGGAGGCTGAGACAGGCAGATCACTTGAGGTCAGGAGTTCAAGACCAGCCTGCCCAACATGTCAAAACCTCCTCTCTACTAAAAAACACAAAAATTAGCCAGGCATGGTGGTGCGCACCTATAGTCCCAGCTACTCGGGAGGCTGAGGTGGGAGACTCACTTGAACCTGTGAGGCAGAGGCTGCAGTGAGCAAAGATCTGCCACTGCACTCCAGCCTGGGTGACAGTGAGACCCTGTCTCAAAAACAAACAAACAAAAAGACAGTTTGGGCCAGGTGCAGTGGCTCACACCTGTAATTCCAGCACTTTGGGAGGTTGAGGTAGACGGATGACTTGAGCTCAGGAGTTTAAGACCGGCCTGGCTAACACAGTGAAACCCTGTCTCTACTAAAAATACAAAAATTAGCCAGGCGTGGTGGTGCGCGCCCGTAATCCTGGCTATTCGGGAGGCTGAGGCATGAGAATAATAGCTTGAGCATGGGAGGCGGAGGTTGCAGTGAGTCAAGACCGCACTACTTGTACTCTAGCCTGGGCAACAGAGCAAGACTGTCTCAAAAAAAAAATCCAAAAAGACAGTTTGAAATACTGTAGAATCTAAGCTGAGTACTTTTTATTTCACAGACTCCTTTGCAATTTTGATAAAAGATACAGAACCTTCCACCTAATAAACTTATTTTTAAAATTAACATATAATTTCAAGGGATCCAATTTTAAGTCCCCTTATTCTACGCTACCGTAACTAAAGAAAACACAATAAAAACTTCTAAATGTATTTTTCTCTCTGAGCTCAAAGCTAACAGCCAATAGTTTAGAACAGGTTTGGGATGCAAAACTAAATGGTAAACAAGATTTGCATTATTCTAATGAAAATTCCCAGAAAAAGAATATCTCAAAAAGCCTGATGTTTTAGTAATTCTTCAAGATTCTCTGCCTCTAATCACACGTGTGGGCTATAATCTTAGGAAAACAAAATTACATTCTAAACCCTGAAGCAGTATAGATCATTATGCTCACCAAACCTTTAGTTAGTAAGGAGGAATCAGAATAAATATTTAAAGCACCAAAGTCTAAACACTAATGTCATTTTTAAAAAAGTAAAGCTATCGGGCACAGTCGCTCACACCTGTCTGTAATCGCAGCACTTTGGGAGGCTGAGGCAGGAGGACTGCTTGAGCCCAGGAGTTCGAGACCAACCTCGGCAACACAGTGAGACCCTGTCTCTACAAAAAATAAAAAAAAATCAGTCAAGTATGCTGGCATGAGCCTGTAGACCTAGGTACTCAGGAGGCTGAGGCAGGAGGATTGCTTGAGCCCAGGAAGTCAAGGCTGCAGTGAGCCATGATCACACCACTGCATTCCAGCCTGGGTGACAGAATAAGACCCTGTCTCAAAAACAAAAAACACCAAAAAAAAAAAAAAAAAAAAAAAGAAGAAGTAAAAGTAAAGCAACAATTCATTAAGCAAAATCAAAAGAATTTACTACTCTCTTTCTGAAAATGCCAGGCACATAGAGCATCTTACTGGGGCTTCAGTTTCAGACCTAAATAACATAAGCTTATTATTAAGCAGAAATGAATGAAAGCTAAGATGAAACTCAATAAGATACTGACCGATTTTTCCAAAAGGATCATCCTTGAAAGGATCACCTGTGATAAAATAAACACAAAGAAATCCAAATAACAATATTTACTGTGGTGACACCACTACTTAAAGAGTAACTTTCAAACAAAAGCAAAGCAAAGTTTATTTCAATAACTTCACTTCACAGTAGATAAAATAAGGAATGTCATTGACCTTATGAAATATACAGCCAACTATACTTACCTTGATCACAAGTTGAGGTTACGGATGGAGGGGAAGACATTACAGCAAAAATTTTACTAACAAAATCTCTACTCTCCACAAGAGTACTGGGAGGGTATTATCATCACCAGTTCAGAAATAAAGGTACTGAGCTTTACTGAAGCAAAAAAAAAAAAATTCTTACAGGATTGAAGAGTCCAGAAATAAATCCTTACCTTTATGGTCATTTGATTTTTGACAAGCGTATCAAGAACACAAAATGGAGAAAGGACAGTCTTTTCAACAAATGGTGTTAGGACAACTGGATATCCACTTGCAAAAGAATGAAGCTCGACCTCTATCTCACATCATATACAAAAATAAACTCAAAATGGATCAAAGATCTAACTGTAACAGCAAAACTATAAAACTCTTAGACAAAGACAGCATTAAATCTTTGCGACTTAGGTAATAGTTTCTTAGATGACACCAAAAGCACAAGTGACAGAAGAAAAAATAGATAACTGGACTTCACCAAAATTGAATAAACACTTTTCCAAAGAAGATACACAAATGGCTAATAAGCATCTAGAAAGATGTTCAACATTAGTCAGTAGGAAAATACAAAGCAGGCCAGGCGCAGTGGCTCACACCTGTAATCCCAGCACTTTAGAAGGCCGAGGCAGGCGGATCACCTTACATCAGGAGTTCAAGACCAGCCTGGTCAAAATGGTGAAACCCAGTCTCTACTAAAAATACAAAAATTAGGCCAGACGCGGTGGCTCACGCCTGTAATCCCAGCACTTTGGGAGGCCAACGTGGGCGGATCACGAGGTCAAGAGATGGAGACCATCCTGGCCAACATGGTGAAACCCCGCCTCTACTAAAAACACAAAAGTTAGCTGGGTGTGGTGGCAGGCACCTGCAATCCCAACTACTCAGGAGGCTGAGGCAGGAGATTAGCTTGAATCCGGGAGGCAGAAGTTGCAGTGAGCCGAGATTGTGCCACTGCACTCCAGCCTGGCGACAGAGCGAGACTCCATTTCTAAATAAATTAATTACATAAATAAATAAATACACACATACATACATACATACATACATAAAATTAGCTGGGTGTGGTGGTGGGCGCCTGTAGTCTCAGCTACTCAAGAGGCTGAGACAGGAGAATCGCTTGAACCCAGGAGGCGGAGGTTGCAGTGAGCCGAGATCGTGCCACTGCACTCCAGCCTGGGCGACAGACTGAGTTGGTAGGCTATTGAAACTGAAGCCTTGAATCCTTAGTTTATATATTAAAAAGTCTTTTTTTTGGGTAAATCTATAATATAAAAAAAAGAGTACTTACTGCCAACAAAAGGATCAGACTGGAAAAAATCCAAGTTTGTATCTGCAACTGGACCTGTCAGCGAACTTGAGTCTACATTAAATGGATCTTCCTAAAAATAATTTTAAATTAAAATTATTTTTTAGAAACCAAAGTTTTAAAAGGTAACATTTTAAAATAAAATAACACACATTCAGGTCATACACATGCTTTGAAAAATCAACTGATGGGCCAGGCACGGTGGCTCACACCTGTAATCCCAGCACTTTGGGAGGCTGACGTGGGCAGATCACAAGGTCAAGAGATAGAGACCATCCTGGCCAAAATGGTGAAACCCCGTCTCTACCAAAAACACAAAAATTAGCTGGGCATGTGCAGCTACTCAGGAGGCTGAGGCAGGAGAATTGCTTGAACCTGGGAGGTGGAGGTTGCAGTGAGCCAAGATCACACTACTGCACTCAAGGCTGGGTGACAGAGTGAGACTTGGTCTTGAAAACAAAAGGAAAATCAACTGATGGTAATGTAACAAATATCTCTCTAGTCATAAAGCACCTTTAACACATTTTTCTCTTTCCTTCACCTTAACATATTTTTCTCTTTCCTTCACCTAAAATAGTGTATAATTCATCTGAGGAAAACAGTGATAAGGACATTTTTTTAAAATATCATTTAATTTTTAGAGATTAGGTCCCTCTATGTTGCCTAGTGCCTCCAACTCAGGCTCAAGCAATCCACCTACTTCACCTCCTGAGTAGCTGGGACTACAGGCACTTGCCACCACATCCAGCTATTAAGAACATTTATTTATTTTATATGTATAAATTCAAGGGGCACAAGTGGAATTTTGTTACATGGCTATATTGCCTAAAGGTGAAGTCGGGGCTTTTGATGTATCTATCATCTGAATAATGTATATTGTACCCATTAAGTAATGTCTGATAATTCACCTCCTCCTGTCCTTCCACCCTTACAAGTCCCCAATGTAAATATAAAATCATTTTTTACCTCTTTTGAATGTCTATTATTGTCGAGTTCAGAACAAACTTTTTCAGTAACAGCTGTAGTCACCTCATTTTCATCAGTCACACCAGAAGGCAGTAGTTCAGGACTACTTCTTGCCTACAAAATATTAATGCAAGTAGATTAACAATATACTTTTTGACATGGCAGAGAAAACTGACTAAAGATAACCAAAAACTATTTAAAAATAAAAAAAGACAAGCAGAATGTATTCATCAAATAACTTCTCCTTCTATAATCTTTTTTAGGGAAATGGTGTCATCAAGCATCAAAGTCACTCATGTCAGAAACCTTCAGGTCATCTTTAATCCTCAGAATATGACTCCAAGTCTTGCTCAGTCTACCTCTTACCTCTTTTTCAAATCCTTGCCTTCTTCTCCATCCTCACTGTCACTATCAATCACTTATAGTACTATCATCTTTGGTTCCAATTACTATAGCAGTCTTCCTTCCAACTGCTTTCCTGCCTCCAATACATGTATTTCCAATCTCTTCTCCTTATTGTAGCCAAACTAATAGCTCTAAAATGTGGATGTGATCGTGACCCTTCTGGTTAAAAGTCCTTCAATGGCTTCCCATTGTCTTCTTCATTTAGACGAGTGGGTGAAAGACTTAAGAAGTAGTAGGGGCAGGCCGGATGCAGTGGCTCACACCTGTAATCCCAGCACTTTGGGAGGCCGAGGCAGGCAGATCACAAGGTCAGGAGATCGAGACCTTCCTGGCTAACACGGTGAAACCCCGTCTCTACTAAAAATGCAAAAAATTAGCCAGGTGTGGTGGCACACGCCTGTAGTCCCAGCTACTCGGGAGGCTGAGGCAGGAGAATAGCTTAAACCCGGGAGGCTGAGGCAGGAGAATAGCTTGAACCCAGGAGGCAGAGGTTGCAGTGAGCTGAGATTGCGCCACTGCACTCCAGCCTGGGCAACAGAGCGAGACTCCGTCTCAAAAAAAAAAAAAAAAGTAGCAGGGCAATAGCTACTTTATACCACCCTTATCTATTTGCAGGATAACCTAGTAATCTGCCTTTTGCGCTTGAAAGAATATTTTATAATGCATACATGACTGCACTGTGTAAATAAAATCGAGTCTGTTAACTTTTCACTTTTAATACCTCTCAAACTTCTATTCTTCTCATTATCCCTTCTACGGGTACAGTCTCACTCTCTAATCCGTTTTCCACATTTCTAAAAGTTAATCACGTCACTTCTTGCTTAAAATTCTTCAATGGCTGTTCATTGCAGTAGGATAAATCCCCCAATGCTTTAAGATGAATCTAAATTTCTCATCTTCTGGCACTTTCTGACCTAAAATTGGTCATTTTTATCCAGGTGCACATGACAATCACCCATAGAGTGTGTTTTTAAAATATACATATCTGGCTCTATCCCAGAAACTAGTTCAGCAAGTTTGGGGAAAGGGATACACATTTATACTTTGACAATCACCAGAGGTAATGCAGATGCCTACTAGAAGCGCCTCATCTCTTACCAATACCCTCTCCACCATCACAAGATATCCTTCAGAACTTCTCAAGATTCTGTGCTGCATGTATTCTTCCACCTTGTACCTATACTAATACTGTTTTCTCTGGCAGGAATGTATCCTCCTCTTCTTTGCTTAACCACTTCTCACTTGTCTAAACTCGCAAAGCTTTCCCCAACAAAATCTTTATGAACCCCCTCCAAACTGTCCTAACTGAAAATTCTGCGCTTCCTTTAGCACAGCCCTTTAACACAGTGTTACACTACTACACTGTAGGCTGCTTGAAGGAAAGACTGAGGTCTCTTGTCTCTGTAGCTCTTATATTATGTAATACAGCACTCTTGCACATAGTTGGTACTCGTCAAATAATTGGTAAATGAATGTCCTTAACACTACGTAATAAAAATAATTTTAGCTTTTGGTGAGGGTACTTAAAAAAAAAGTTTTACTCTATAGAACCACCATTTTAAAAACAGGCTCTACAAAAAATAAATTAGCTGGCTGGGCGTGGTGGCTCACGCCTGTAATCCCTGCACTTTGGGAGGCCGAGGCAGATGGGTCACTTGAGGTCAGGAGTTCGAAACCAGCCTGGCCAACATGATGAAACCCCATCTCTACTAAAAATACAAAAAATTAGCTGAGTGTGGTGGCACGTGACTGTAATCCCAGCTACTCAGGAGGCTGAGGCAGGAGAATTGCTTGAACCCAGGAGACGGAGGTTGCAGTAAGCCAAGATCGCACCACTGCACTCCAGCCTGGGCAACAAGAGCAAAACTCCATCTCCAAAAAAAAAAAAATTAGCTAAAGTTATCTTTTTATACTAGTTAAAACGTACAATTGTTTGGATTAGGACTCTCTGCTTCTAAAAAGGAAATCTCAATTGTCCTCAGATGAGGCAAGGCCATGTATTTATATTAGATATAATGTCAGTGAAACTTGGATCTGCACAAGGAGGTTGATTATGAAGGTTATGAAAGTATTAGACTCACTGGAGATTCCTGGTGTATGGGCTCAGACTCTAGGTTGCTCTGGCCTTCAACATGTTCATTAAGGTTGGCTGTTTCACTGCTGCTGGTGCTGAGGCTGCAATAATCTGTAGCTCCGTTTACAAGAATGCTGTGTGGGCTACTGCACCAATTTAACTGACTATTATGATTTTCCAAATCTTTCATTTCCATCAGTTTCATTTGCATCTGCCAACACAAAGAAGAAATATAGAACAGAATTTATTACTAGAAAGACATGTAACATAAAAACGCCCTCCTCCACTTCCTGACGGGCTAGGTGTGGTAGCTCATGCCTATAATCTCAACACTTTGGGAAACTGAGGCAGGAGGACTGCTTCAGCCCAGGAGTTCAAGACCAGCCTGAGCAACACGGTGAAACCTCATTTCTACAAGAAATATAAAAATTAGCTGGGCATGATGGAGTGCACCTGTAGTCCCAGCTACTCAGAAGGCTGAGATGGGAGGATCACTTGAGCCCAGAGGTCAAGGCTGCAGTGAGCCATGATCACACCACTGCACTCGAGTGACAGAATGAGACCCTGTCTCAAAAAAATAAATAAAATAAAAATGGCTATACCTGTAGACTTGGTCTAGGATACATTTGCTTCCTTTAAGAAGAATCCTCTGGGAATGCTACGTGACTTAGAGAAAAGATTCAGTAATTTCTGACAATAAGTATTTCTCTCTTGAAATTTTAGTATACATGGATTTTTTTTTTAAAGAGATTCAAAAAAAGAAAATACTTTAAAGAATACCCATTCATCTGGTAGCATTCTCACTACAACAACTCTTTCAGGTTACCTGTTTATTGAGTACCTACACTGGGACAAGAACTGTGCTAAATGATACGGATTTTTAAAAATGTGTAAGTTCCCAGACCAAAACCATGACTCTGCTAGGGGAGACAGACATATAAGCAAATATGCAGGGAAAAATCTTATTATTGCTGTAACATAAATACAAAGTCCAACAAAAGCAGGATGCAGAAAATACCATAAAGAAATAAGAATTTAAGGTATATCTTGCATGACGAATGAGTAGGTAGGTACTCAGCTGCCAGATAACAGGGGGTAAGGAAGCGCAAAAGTGAAGGACTTCATTATATGTAATAACTGAGCACACTGGACTGGGTTTTAGAAGAACTGGATTTTAGATGTAGCTCTTTTCAAGGATATGTAACCTTGAGAAAGTTACTTGAACTTCCTTGGCTTTAGTTTGTTCAAATTCATAATGAAAGAAATCAACTCCATGATCTCTGTGTTTCTATCCTTTTTTTTTTAGTTTTTATTTTTTGAGACAGATTCTCACTCTGTTGCCCAGGGTGGAGTGCAGTGGTGTGATCTGAGCTCACTGCAACCTCTGCCTCCCAGGCTCAAGTGATTCTCGTGCCTCAGCCTCCCAAGTAGCTGGAATTACAGGCAGGTACCACCATGCCCAGTTAATTTTTGTACCTTTTAGTAGAAACAGAGTTTGGCCATGTTGGCAGGGCTGGTCTCGAACTCCCGGCCTCAAGTGATCCATTGCCTCAGCCTCCCAAAGTGCTGGGATTACAGGCATGGGCCACCACCATGCCGAGCCCTAACTATCTTATCATTCATTAAAACATTAGTCTTCATGTAGGGAAACCTGGAAATAAAGCAAAGGATCTATACATAAGACCAACTATAACACTGCAAATTTATCTACAGAAGGAACAATTTCCTTAAGAAAAAAGTTTCCAAATTAGCAAATGTGAATTCAAAATTAGAATCACAAAACAGAAGAAACTAGGTTATTGTTTATAAAACAGGCAACACTTATGGAGCATTTATGTACCAAGCACCATGCTAAAATGTCTTACAGGTTTTGCCTCATTAATCCTCACAGTGGCCCTAAGGGGTAGGGTATTTATTAATCCTCCAATTTTGAAGATGAAGAATCTGATACTAAGGTGATTTAGCTAGTAAGTGGCACACCAGTACTTAAACCTAGACCATCTAGCCACAAAGCCCACACTCTTAATCACTACTCCAATGATAATCATCAGATAGATATACAAGATGTATGATAGTTTCAATATATAACAGGTGACAAAAAAACCTATTGTATAAAATGACTGAAAAATGAACAGTAAACTAGGCAAGAGGTTGAAGGAGCAGAAGTTGGAAAGTATAACTGACTAAAGGACACAGAGGATCCATTTGAATATATTTCTTGCTTTACAAAGACTTACTGAACTAATTTCCTGTTGTGAATCTTGTAGGTGCTGCTGAAGAGGTTCCAACTGAGCCTTCCCTGACTCTACACTCTCCTCCAATTCTGCTGTTTCTTGCTGTAGACGGCTCAGCTCTTCTCTAGCTTTTGCCAATTCTTCTTCGTAAGTGGAGATCTGCGATTCCTGACTAGTTAATTCAGCTTTCAGAGAAGAGATCTATAATGTGAAAGTGAATGAGAAGAAATGGGGATTAAAAGAAGAGATGTCATTAAAATGTTCCAAAATGCAATACATTTATTTGTTTAGTTTACTATTTTGGTGTTTTTTTTGACAGCAATAGCAAATAATTTATTTAATTTAATTTTTGAGAGAGAGAGTCTTGCTATGTTGCCCAGGCTGGATTCAAACTCCTGGGCTCAAGTGATCCTCCTGAGTAGCTGGGACTATAGGAACATGCCCAGCCATACCTAGCCCTATTATGGAGTTTTTGATGTTGTTGTTGTTGTTGATGTTTTATTTTTTTGAGACAGTCTCACTCTGTCACCCAGGCTGGAGTGCAATGGCACGATCACAGCTCACTTCAGACTTCAGGCTCAACTTTCCCAGGCTCAGGTGATCCTCTCACCTCAGCCTCTCGAGTAGGTGGGATTACAGATGTGGGCCACCACGCCTGGCTTTCAATTTTTTTTTTTTTTTTTTTTGAGACAGAGTCTCGCTCTGTTGCCCAGGCTGGAGTGCAGTGGCGTGATCTCAGCTCACTGCAAGCTCCGCCTCCTGGGTTCACACCATTCTCCTGGCTCAGCCTGCCGAGTAGCTGGGACTACAGGCACCCGCCACCGCCCTGGCTAATTTTTTGTATTTTTAGTAGAGACGGGGTTTCACCGTGGTCTCGATCTCCTGACTTCGTGATCCGCCTGCCTCGGCCTCCCAAAGTGCTGGGATTAAAGGCGTGAGCCACTGCACCCAACCAGCTTTCATATTTTTTGTAGAGATGGGATTTCTCCATGTTTCCCAGGCTGGTCTCCAACTCCTGGGCTCCAGCAATTCCCCCCGCCTCAGACTCCCAAAGTGTTGGGATTACAGGTGTGAGCCACTGTGCCCAGCCAATTATGATGTTTTTTGATGTATGGTTTTCGTAAAGAAGGGTAACTGGGGGAGGGACAGAGGAGAGTTGAAGGTATAGGCACCATATTTCCAACAAAAATTTGGAAAAACAGTTCATTAACTGCCCTTCTATTTCCTCTAAAGAAGGCCTGTAATTTCTGGATGAACCTTGCTCCATCGCCCCCATGAACCCAAATGCTGACTGGATTGCCAACCACCACCATCAATAACAAAAAGTAGAGAATGTTTTCATCTTAAGCCAGGAAAAGCAACTAATGTATAGGTGCAGGCAGCAGGAAACAGCCAGACATTACCAGTTGGGCCTCCTCAGCACATTTCTTTCTGACTTCCTTGAGTTGCTCCTCCAGCTGGGCTTTCTGCTCATCCAGTTCATCAAGGAGTTCCTGTACCTGCTGTTTCTGGGCCTGTAGTTTTTGCAGATTAGTATTCTCCCTTTGAACTTCATCTTGAAGATCCTAAAATCCAAGAAAATTAATATATTTATTTTCTTTGCGGGCAGGGGAGGGTTAAGTTAGTAATTTTAAATCTACCTTAAGAAAGAATAAAGTCTTACTGAGTATACTGTGTTGATGAGACTAGGGTACTTAACAGCTTTAAATACAATCTTTACTTGAAGACATCTTTCCTAGAATCCATATTTAGATATTCAATTTGCTAACTCAAATCTGTCCTTGGACATGTGATGGGCTTTGCTAACATGTTGAAAATAGAACTCCTGGAATTTCCCCACAAATCTGTTTTAAGCTCAATCTTTCCCCTCTCAGATTCTCTGGTCAAAAAAAAACCCCACATGGAGAAACCCTGTCTCTAACAAAAATGCAAAAAAAAAAAAAAAAATTTAGCTGGGCGTGGTGGCGCATGCCTGTAATCCCAGCTACTCGGGAGGCTAAAGCAGGAGAATTGCTTGAACCCAGGAGGTGGAGGTTGCAGCGAGCCGAGATCATGCATTGCACTCCAGCCTGGGCAACAAGAGTGAAACTCCATCTCAAAAAAAAAAAAATTAGCTGGACGTGGTAGTACGTGCCTGTGGTCCCAGTTACTTGGGAGGCTGAGATGGGAGGATCTCTTGAGCCCAGGAGGTCAAGGCTGCAGTGAGCTGTGATCATGCCACAGCATGCCCAGACTGGGCAACAGAGTGAGACACTGTCTCCAAAAAAAAAAAAAAGAAAAATTAATTCCAGGTAAATAATGGACCTGAATGTAAAAGTCTAACTTTAAAATGTGTAGAAGAAATGCAGATCTCAGTGTAGGAAAAGATTTCTTAAAACAAAAAAAGAACCATTTTGAAAATGTTATTTATTCATCCATGTACATACCAGACCTCATGCTTAATAACAAGAACTACAGAAATTTTTAAAAAGCCAGGCGCAGTGGCTCAGGGATTAATAACTCCGAAGTATCTGTCAGCAGGAGGTAGGCAAAGATTTCAAAGCGGGTGAGGTAAAACTGAACACAAATTTCTAAAAATAATATCTATTCAAAGGTCCCAACAGTCATTCACCAGAATAAGAATCTAAGAACAGAAGAGAAACTTACAGGTAAAAGGTCTCTGAATTACTGCATAGGTTACACAAGATAGCACCATTATGATAATAGCCAACACTTTAAATGCTACTTAAAATGTGCTAGGTTGTGCTCTAGGCTCTTTAAATATACTAACTTATTTATAGTCTATATGACAGATCTACGAGTTAGGTACTGATATCATTTCATATTTTACAGATGAGAAAACTGAAGTACTGATGTGTAGGTAATGTGTCCAAAGTTAAAAATAGTAAGCTATGGATTCAAAGTGGGTTCTGACTCCACAGCCTGAGCTCTTAACCACCATGTGACATACCATCTGCAGACTAAATGTCTCACATGTGTCACTATTTTTCAAATATATGCAGATGTTTCTGTGATTAAATAGAACACTGAACAATGCTTTCAATAATTGCTTTTTATCTTATATTTTCTTAACCAACTGGTTAGTCTAAAAATATCATGTTGCTTTCTTTAAAAAATTCCTTTAAAGCCCAGGCAGAGCAGGCAGACAAAAAGGGAAACTCAAAGGCAGTAGCCTTTGAATTCCTCAATGATACTTGAGGAATTCGGACAATGTTTGATGAGTATCATCAACTCTGCAAAGAAAGGCAAAAAGTGACCCTTGTGCCATGAATTGCTAACTCTTGCACAAAGGACTGATAAATGGAACTGTACAGAGAATTTAAGATACAGGGACACTTGATTTCTGGAAGAAAAACAATTTCTGTATTTTAATTCAGTCCTTATTTTAAGAGACTTGAAATTATAATATTGAAGGAGAAGAAATTTTAAATGAGGAAATAAGTACATTTTAAATCTTAGTTAAATATGCTTATGCCCCTTCTAAATTGAATTTTTCTTTATTGTATTATATAGAGTTTTGCTTTGCCTAGGTTTCTTAAGAATCAGATGTTCTCTCATTAACCCGTCAGGAAACAACAGAAGCTGGAGAGGATGTGGAGAAACAGGAACGCTTTTACACTGTTAGTGGGAGTGTAAATTAGTTCAACCATTGTGGAAGACAGTCTGGCGATTCCTCAAGGATCTAGAACCAGAAATACCATTTGACCCAGCAATCCCATTACTGGGTATATACCCAAAGGATTATAAATCATTCCACTATAAAGACACATGCACACGTATGTTTATTGCAGCACTATTCACAATAGCAAAGACTTGGAACCAATGCAAATGCCCACCAACGATAGACTAGATAAAGAAAATGTGGCACATACATCCCATGGAATACTATGCAGCCATAAAAAAGAATGAGCTCATGTCCTTTGCAGGGACATGGATGAAGCTGGAAACCATCATTCTCAGCAAACTACCACAGGAACAGAAAACCAAACACCACATGTTCTCACTCATAAGTGGGAGCTGAACAATGAGAACGCATGGACACAAGGGAGGGGAACATCACACACCGGGGCCTGTCGGGAGGTGGGGGACAAGGGGAGGCAGAGCATTAGGACAAATACCTAATACATGCAGAGCTTAAAACCTAGATGATGGGTTGATGGGTGCAGCCAACCACCATGGCACATGTATACCTATGTAACAAACCTGTACGTTCCACACATGTATCCCAGAACTTAAAGTATAATAATAATAAAAAAGAATTAGATGTTCTCTTTCTGATTCCTTTGACAAAAATGTTTATCAATTATTTACTATAATTTATTTTAAAAATTCCTTTAAAAATGCCAACACAATAGATGATCATGAAAGACTTTCCAGTGCTAACATTCCGTGAGTTTGTGTGATCACAGTTTCAAACTGGTGAACTCCTTTAGTACTTTATCATTAATTTACCAGCATGCCTAATTTTTTTCATGTCTAAATTTTTAACCTTGCCTACACTGTTAACTAATCCATACCATATAGAGATACGACTTTAGATATGCACATGGCATTGGCTCTGAATAAACCCATGCCAAAAGAGAAAAATGACTTCAATTTCTGTATCACCCAGTCTAGTAACTTCAGATTCATCTTTGATTTTCTCCATTCATACATGTCCTATAGATTCTACCTTAAAATCTCTCTTTAAGCTGTTTACCAAATTATTTTAGCTTTCATCGTTCCTTCCTTGACATACAACTGGGTTTTCTCCCTTTGTTTCTTCCTATTCCAAATGTCCAACTTGCTTAAAAAATAACTCACTGCAAAGGATATTTCTCTAGTCACTGTTATTTTTAAAATATGTGTTGTTCCCTCTTATCTAGAGGATTAAGTAAAACTTGCTGCAAGACACATTAAAACCTTCAGTTCTGGGTTCTACCTTCTTTTCCTCTCATATTCACCTGTGTCCCAGCCTCAGAAGACCCTATTCCTTCTCCAATAGACAACATATTTCAATGACCCTATGCCTTTCCACAAGCCATAACCTCTGTCTTCAATGTCCTTCCACACCATATGTACCTGGAAACCCACTATTGATTCTTCAGAATCCAGCCAAATTTAATCTCGTCTGACTCATCTTGGGCTTCCTTCACCTATGCTCAAACTCTACTGTTTGTTCCTAACCTCTACTGTCATACTTAATACACTGTAATCATAGCTAACCTCTAAATTACAAACTTCTAAAGGACAGTGTCCATGCTTCATCTTTCTTTGATTATCCAAAATCTTGTACAATGCCTAGCACATTCCAGGGGCTTAATTAAGCAATTACTGTAACTATCATAGGATTTTAGTATGTGGGAAAAACTAATGGGAAACACGCATGAGACTGACAGAAAGAAAAGACTTACATTCTTTTTACATAATGTGAAACACTTCACTATGTATTTAAACTATAGCTATTTATTAATACCCCAAACTGACCTATGACAAATGCTTTTTAAACTTTTTAAAATAATACCTACATTTCTAAACTGATTCAGTATTTTTATAATCTATAGACCAAGGCTGATCTGACATTTAAAACTTTCATTATTTGGAAATAATCATTACTGCTTTAACATGTCACTGTGGCATATACCTTTATTTTTTTAAGACAGGATCTTACTCTGTCACCCAGGCTAGAATGCAGTGGTATAATCACGGCTCACTGTAGCTTCAACCTCCTGGGCTCAAGTAATCTTCCCACCTCAGCCTCCCAAGTAGCTGAGGCTACAGGCATGTGCCACCACGCCTGGCTAATTTTTAAATTTTTTTGTAGAGATGGGGTTTTACCATGTTGCCCAGGGTGGTCTCAAACTCCTAGGCTCAAATGATCTGCCCGCCTCGGCCTCCCAAAATGCTGGGATTACAAACATGAGCCACAGTGCTTGGTCTAGTTCAGCTATAAAATATTTTAAAAGAATGTTACCTGCAGATCTAAAGTAATTTTGTTAGTTTGAAAATACAATCTATTGAGCCGGCAAAGTGGCTCATGCCTGTAATCCCAGCACTTTGGGAGGCTGAGACGGGTGGATGACCTGAGGTCAGGAGTTCGAGACCAGCCTGGCCAACATAGTAAAACCCCATCTCTATTAAAAATACAAAAAATCAGCTGGGCGTGGTAGTGGCCGCCTGTAATTCCCGCTACTAGGGAGACTGAGGCAGGAGGATCACTTGAACCCAGGAGGCAGAAGTTGCAGCAGTGAGCCAAGATGGCGCCACTGCACTCCAGCCTGGGCAACAAGAGTGAAACTCCATCTCAAAAAAAAAAAGAAAAAAGAAAATATAATCTATTTTGAATTCCTTACTTTGTTCATAAAATTATTATATAGGTTTATATAACAATATGCTGGTCCCAAAAGCATGTTTTAAATCCTAGAGGGAAAAAAGTTTTTTCTCTTTCCCTTTAACTAAAAATGTTCAAGAGTGGGAATAGGAAAAATATGTTATCTATCCCCATTAGTAAATACTCTAGTCATATTCCCCACCCTCCCTCATACCCCAAAGAAAAATATTCTTTATCTACTTCATGTCTCTAATAATATCTTTAAAGCCAGATGTAATTTTGATGTCTTTTATTGTAAATCCAGGGACAAAAAACACAATTTACCTTAAAAGGGTCACACAATATAAGAAAATGTCTAGGACATGATACTAAGTTTTAAAAGCTGAATACAGAGGCATATACAGTATGATCACAAATTAATATAAAGAAATTTATACATATTTGTAGAAAATACAGCAAAATGTTAACAATAGCTCTCTCTAGAAAGGCTTTTTACATCTTTTTCATACTTTTCTTCATTTTACAAATTTACCATGAACCCATGTTACTTTTATAATCAGAAAATGTCAAGTTTGCTGTTTTTTTTAAGTATCACATTGCTACCAATATAAAATATAAAAATACCAATACAAAAATATTCTGATGTGACTAAATTTTTATGTAAGAACTACCAATAATAGAATCAATGCTGGTTTCCTTTAATAAACTGAACTATTTTTCATAAATAATATTTTTAGTGAGCCACTTAAACACAACCTCAAAAGACAGGCTTATGTAAGAGGAAGACAAATAAACAAACCAATATAATATTTACTTCTTTCTGCCCTTTCTCTCCCAAAGAGCAAACACATTCATTCAAATTTCCCAGACTCACTGCCCTTTTTCATTTCTTAGCTTCAGTAAAAATCCACATAGTAATACAAAACTACAGGACTTAAAGGAAAGGTTACTGAGGAAATACCTAACATTAATGAGAAACTTCAAGCTGGAACGATGTCCATATTAAAATTCATTATAATTAATGTCTCTCTATGTCTATTTCTAAATATGAAAAAAGGTCTATAAAAATTCTGGGCCAGGCGTGGTGGCTCACGCCTGTAATCTCAGCACTTTGGGAGGCTGAGGCTGGAAGATCACCTGAGGTCAGAAGTTCGAGACCAGCCTGGCCAACATGGAAAAACCCCGTCTCTACTAAAAATAAAAAATTAGCCAGGCGTGGTGGCGGATGCCTGTAATCCCAGCTACTTGGGAGGCTGAGGCAGGAGAATCACTTAAACTTGGGAGGCAGAGGTTGCAGTGAGTCGAGATCGTGCCATTGCACTCCAGCCTGGGCAACAAGAGCAAAACTCCGTCTCAAAAAAAAAAAAAAAAAAAAAAAAAAAAAAAAAAATTCCAACACTAAACTACATACAAAAAGGCCTTCCTTTCCAGTATACAGAATTAAAATTATTAAACTGCACAAAATCAAAATGAACTCATGCAAATATACATGCTAATAACAAATTTCACTGGAAAATTATTTGTAAGGCTACCACCATCACAATGCAATTTCAATATCAATATCAGCATCTAGATATACTTAGCAACTTTATTTTGGTACAGATTGCTTATCCTGAGACTAAATTAAGGCAACAGATGTACCTCTCTCTCTCTTCCTGCTCTCTCCTCCCCCGCCATGCCCTTAACTAGAGCAGTGGAAGGTTCTCCTAACAAACAGTGTCTTCTGCTGAACTTGGGTAATTTTCTCTTTCCTAAACGTGGCCCTTGGGAACATCCTTTCCTGGGTCTGTGCACAGACTCAGCACTATCAAATGCCATTCCCTCCAGTGAATGACAGAAGACATTTGCAGATGCTTTCCTAGTTCTGCTTTATTCCCCTGATCATGGTCTACTTGCCTACTAGTGCCATCAACAGCAAAAGAAAGGAAGATAGCAGCAGCTGAAGCATGGCAAGGATGAAGTGAACAAAACTAGAGCAATATAGTGCCAAGGTTTATTTTAGAAAAATATCAAAGCAAGCCATATCCGAGGTTACTCATCTAGAAATTAAAGGATATTTGAGCTGGCAATCTTGGCTTTACTTAAAAAGAAATTTCAAGGAAAACGTCCTGTTTTCTAGAAATCACTGAAGTTACTGAAAATGGCAAATTATCTGCTATCCCTCTATCCCCCATGAAGTGCTATGGGGTAGTGGAAATAAAATTTAAACAAATACCTAAGAATTTTAGACATATGAAAAAATAAAACTTTCATTTTAGCAACTCAAGTCAGATGTACAACTGATGAAGTTACTTTAAAAGTTATCTGAAAAGTTAAACCTTTTAACTCTGTATTTTATATGAAACAGATGCAAACATATCATGTTAATAGTTCATATCAATATCAGTAATATATTTTATATATTATACATAATTATATAATTATTTATTTTTAAAAGAAAACCTCTATAAACTAACCTACAATTAGAAATAATCAGATACACTGTTTTATCTGATGGAAGTTTTAGGACTATTCTTAACATTAAAAATGTATCAACTATAGAACAAGATGTTTAAGTCAATGAACAGAAAGGAAGCCTAATAAACTAGGGTGGGTGTTAGAAAACCCCATTAACAGACTGCCTTTATTTCTCAATCATATGCTTCCCAGTATGTTCTAAAGAGCATTATGGCCAGAAAAAGAATGCTGAGCTCATGTATCTAATTTTATTTCTATCTAAGATAAGTCATCCCTCTTCATCTAAGAAAAAAACTAAGTGAATTAAAATAAAAAACATGGACAAGTACTCTGAATTACTGAATCTTATGATGAAACATAAATAATAGGGAGCTTCTTTTACATGAGGGTAATATGAACAATATCAAGAAGTCTGACTTTTCATGATAACTACTATGCTCTCAATCTTTTCTACCTATGGGTTCCAGTTATATTGTCTTATTTTAAATTGTATACACAAAACCAAAGTTTATTCACTTCTGCTGTGAACAGCTTCCTTAAATTTACCTCCATCTAACAATATATTGCCAAATATAATGAAAAATATGATCCAAGGCACAATTTCTAAGCCCAAGGAACTCACAATATATAGGAAGGAAGATATTGGAAGCTATACACATCACACCAAGCTAACACTACCAGGTAACATATGGTTCATGCCATATATAAGTGGATACGTATTCCTTCCTCTGGGAGTTCCAACACAGGAAAGACTGGTGTGGACCAAGAGACAGAGAAGGGAAAGTTTAAGACAAGCGGTGGGATATGAGCTAGGCTTTAAGGCATGAGTGGAATTCACATAAGCAGGAAAGTAGAGAACATTCTGGACTATAACAACAAAAGTTATAAAAGTGGGAATAAGAAGGAGAATATATATGGCACAGAGTACAGAGTCAGACAGTCAAAAAAGAGGAGGGTTTGTATTTCATCTTTTTCTCTGTCTCCAATAACCTGAGGTATGACACCCTCCCATCATTAATGGTGGCAGTGAGCAACAGTAAAGATTCCCACATCTGAGAGTCATGATACTAAATTGGTTTAGGAGGAAAGGCAAGAGCGAATGGAGTGAGTACTTCTGATATGACTTTAAGATTTTAGATATTAGGCGATACAGGTGGCAGTAGTGAGAAAGAAAAATAGGAAAGTTCAAACCAGAAGCCAAGTTTTTTCAATAAGATTCATTTTAGACACACGGATTTTCAAATGATAAACACCAAAATGGTTAACTGGAGATGTGGGACTGGCACTCAGGAGAGTTGAGAGCTTGATAAACATTTGGGTGTTATCAGCATATGGATGACAGGGGTTATGGAGAAGGAAAGAAAGGACACACATAAACACACACACAATCTGTCTGTCCATCTGTCCTTGGCAAAGTCAATGGAAGCAAAGGTTCAGAGAGGTAGGAAGATATCCAGGAGAATACAACCCAAGAAAGGAGTACCTAATACAAGAAGGACGAACAGATTTGGCCTTAAGATTATTCTTGGCCCTGGGGAGAAAATGCACAGTGTGGTATGGGCAAGCAGCAGACTGTACAGGGTTGCTACAAAGATAGGAAGGGGGGGAAAATGGCCACACAAAGCAATAAAAGTAGAGCAAAATAAGTTGGTAGTTAAAGTGGCAGCAATAGCCAAGGAAGGGGTATTTTCAAATTGAAGAGTCCTATGTCCAAGAGGCCTATGTGAAGAAAGAGAAGAAAGAGCTTAAAGGTGAAGAGAAGATAATAAAGAGATGATTGTAGGGTGCGGAATAATACAGCTAGTAAGAACATTTACTGAACACTTACCAAGTGCCAATCACTCTGTGAGGCACTTTACTGCATTATCTCATTTTATTCTTACATCAGCTCTTAAGTGTTTGTTATTTTTATTATCCCATGTTACAGAAGAGGAAACTAAAGTATAGAATGGTTAAATTACTTAAGATCACAAACCTAGGAAGTGGCAGAGCTAGGAACTGAATTCAAGTTTGTTTGACATCAAATTGTTGCTATAAAGTTCTACTCAAAACTGAAGAAACCAGGCATATGAGAGTGAATTTCTAAAATATCTGTTGACTACTCAGAAGAAAAAAATTTTTAATAAGATCATACATAGGCAATTCTTTAAGGTAGGAAGAATGTGAGCCTACTTTCTCCCCTTATGAAAAACAAAACAAAAAATACACACCCAAACCTTAGACATTTTAGATAAAATGGCTTTTCACAACATTTCCCCCTTGGAATTGGATCACTTTGGGCCTAATTTGTCCACAGAACTTGATCCACTGGTATATATCTCATACAAGCTAACAGTGATCATCTCATGAAATAAAATGTGAAGTCATCTTCAAGAAAAAATCCTAAACAGAAAGTTTTCAAGGCAGTAATTAACAGAAATACAGACAGGAAACAAAAATTCAGAAATTAATTACATAGCAGACTTTCTACTCTAACTGAATTAGACAGACTACATAAACACAAAACAAAAAAAAAATTAAAGCTTTTGGCTTTAAAAGTTTGATTTCTGTGTTTGAGATATGAGCTCATATTATCACTGTGACTTTATTAATATGGAGAAAAGCAAGAACACTCAAAAAGCCAAGTGCGGCAGGTACTGATAGGTCAAAATTCCCTTACTTCTCCTCCCCAATGTCTTCATTTTGACATTTCTCATTAGCATCACCATTAGAAAGTAGATCAGAAAGAAGCAGTGAAATACACTCTCTTTGATTCTGCCATTTATTAATAGCTCCAGTGAGTTGCCTTTTGCCAGGGAAATTAGAAAGTAAGTATTGAGAGTTGGAGTTATTTACAGACTTTAATTATCCATATTATTTCCAGTCTACATCTCAGTACCAATGGGTAAATCAGAGTTACCTCAAAATAGGTAATGAAATATACTTATTACCACCTATGGTAAGTTTTGCTTCAGAAAATTGAAAATGATCACTAATATAAGAGTTTTAATTACTGGTAGATGTCAACTATCCACATCATTCTTAGTCTAGTACCTCATTACCATGCGTAACATAGATAACTGTAGTGTATAATGAATAAATAATGAATCTACTAACCCAAATCTTTAATTAATCCACTATTTTTTTCATTGATTATTACTTGGTCTTTACTTACCATGGCCCAAGATGCCTTACTTATACTTAGAGCACTCTATGTGGAAAAATTGAACCATTTCGACTTCCTGTGCCAATCACACATTTTGGATTTTGCAAAGCTTAAGGTTAGACATACACCTTACCATTGCCACTAAGTAAGAAGGGCAAGCAAATCACGGAGAAATTCTGATGGACAACAAAACTTCTATAATTATAAGACACCAAATGTTCAGGGATAGCCTATTTAAACTGAAGGAAACAATGTAAATTTCAGCACTCTTCTAAACTGGGTATTTAAATTCACATCCTCAAAAAATGCAGCAGGGAAAAACCAACAGGTAGATATACTCAACAAAATACTGTCTATCACAAGAACCTATGTACTTTAAAGCAGTAACTGGCTAAATTTAGAAGCTGTCCAAAATTGTATCAGTAGCTACACCTATTTCTTCAAATTATGAAAACTTGTGTAGATTATTTTATCTTCCATTTTAAACTATTTTTAGTAATAACTGCTTAGAATGTGTGGCTCTTTTGCATTTCCTAAGAAGCTCAAAAACTGCACAAAATAATGTAATTCAGATAACTTACCCTCTTATGCCCACCTAACCTCACTGCCAGAGAGAGAATTATATTGATGATGATCTCTTAACTTGCACTGCCTTCAGGAAAATTCAAGTAAATATAATAAATGTAGTCACCCAATCAGAGAATCAACTTCCAACAAGAAGTCTCTCTGGCTTCTTCCTCAATTCTTCAGTAAATCATTCTCCCCACCCTAGCACAGTCCACCAGACAGACAATCTCTAATGAATGTCCTGCATCAAAACAAAACAATGGGCCTAACACAATTTAGAGTTTTTCCCTACTTAAAACTATTAGGAAAAGCAGGAAAATCCAACATACAAGCAACACATTAAGAAATGCCCATCCAAGAGTTCTTACTAGCAACTGCTACCAGTGCTTCTATATCCAATCTCCTCTATGTGCCGGTGCAGCACTAAGGAAACAGTACCCCAATAACATGGCCACATGCATTGCTTACTGCTCTAAGTGAGGCACTGCCCAGTTTTCTCTATTTCTAACGTTAGAAACACTGCTACTCCCTTATTTTTATCATTTCCCAAACAAAAACTGAGGTTTTTGTCATCCTTTCTCTTTGTAAAATGAAACAATTTAACACAACACCTAATGAAAATGAACTAAAGCTCTTTATGCCAAAGTTTAAGATATGCTGGTTACTAAGCTACTCATAAAATGCTACTTTAAATTGTTCTGTATCATCTCCCACCCTACAAGTATTATGAGAAACAGTCCTTTAACATACTAGGTCTCCTAGCTAACAAAAACCTCACATGCATGAAAAAGCATACTGGTTTTTGATGATGATGATGATGATGATGATGAGATGATGATCTCACTCTAATTTTACTGGTGCAAAAATATTAACATTGTAAGTCATGCAAACTTACCCCTTTAATGATATAATATGCAGGTAAGTACCATTTAAAAAATACTTTCAAAACTAGAAATCTATGCTGAAAAATACTGCTTTCTCATTGCAGTATAATCTTTGCAGGCCAGAATTCCAAGCAAGAACAATCATCTTGGAAAAGATAAACATTTATATAATATAAACATTAGGCATTCTCTTGACCTAATACTACATCCAGCAAATAGTAAATAACCATATAAATTTAAAATGAATAGTCCTAAATCAGCAGTGGAACACTAAATTTTATGGTCACTTACCTGAACCTCACTTGTCCTCTGTTTAATAGTATCTTCCTTCTCCTTAAGGTCCTGTTCCACATTATTCTTTTCCCTAGAAGACCAGCAAACAATGCAAGAATATTTTAGAACATCAGCTACAGCTGGTATGGTTATCCATCCTCCTAATCCTGAATCGCTTTTTAAATACATAGTGAAACATTCAATTTTTAAATGAAGGGCAGATTTTTCTACCCTCTTTCAATTATTTATGAAATAAAAATCAATATAAGCTCCATTTGTAAAAAAAAAATTGCTTTCTCACTAAAATGTGGTGAAAAGAGGATAGATTAAAAAAGGAAGAGGAGAAAAATAATCAATGAAACACTCAGGTTTCACTGATGTCACTGTTGCTATGGAAATAGTGTCCAATGAAAATTGCTGGTAAAGAAAAGGAGGGGTTGCATCAGCTCTGTAAGGTTAACCCTTAGGTACCACTGTCAAATTAAATGAAAATGGCTAATAAAAACAGTCAACAATACTAAGGAAAAAGACATTTACTGAAGTGTTAATTTCCCCTTAAATCACTGGTGTGCATCAATTTTAGAATGAAACAACAGAGAAAATGGGAAAGATTATTAATACACAGGCAATTTGCTCTATCAAAAATTACATCTCAAAAAAAGCTATTTTAGGACCATATATCAAATCCAATTGATCAAATATACAAACAGTATATATAAAGTAAAAAAAGAACCACAGCAGCATTTATCTCTTCTGCTCTTCAAATCAAACATGCTGGGCTCCGCTTTTACTTTGAAACATCGTTACCTAAATTCTTATATGCTTTAATCAGGCCTGAGTGGCTATGAACGAATCCCAAGCAACCTTAGATTCAGAATTGCAAAATAAAGCTGTCACTTTTGATGTAACAATTTAACTGCCCATTTGTAGTTGTACTGAAATCATGCGTGCACACGCACACACAAACACACACACCTCCCTTCACTTTCTTTTCTACAAAATGAGAGAAAAAGCTCAAAGAATTCTGCAGCAGTACATTTCTGGGGTCGCAGGGAAAGGTAAAAGGCGGCAACATGGAGAAGGGAAGACAGCATTTAACAAGTCCTCCAGATTAGTATAGCCAAGTTTCTCCTTCGAGCTTCAAGACTACATTTCAGTTTCCATCTCAGACATAACCCAAAATGTAAGCTCAGGCTCCATTTAGCTCCAGCATAAAGGAAAGTGAGAAAATTATACCAAAGCAGATACTTAAGGGACAACTGCATGCTTCATTTATATTTCTCACCTTCTTGAGGTGAGATTTTAAATGTAGACAAAAATCAACTGTTTTGGATACGTAGGCACAATGTTCTTAAGATGTCTATGGAAGAAAGCATACAAATAAAGCTATTTGTACACTGTTACTTTTAAACATTTGAGATGGCCAAGGAGCTCACTAACCGTTTGTCAGATGGGTCGCAATGTGGGTCGCGATGTTGTGATTTTAAACAGTCCCTTACCATGAGAATCATTGTTGCAGCCCGATCCTTCCATACCTCAACCTATTTATCATGCAAAGACCATCCCCCACCTCCAACCCTTATATAAATTAAGCAAATTCAAGAAATACAAAAACACGGGGAAAAATTTCTGAAAATACCCAACAAATTCTGCAAGCTCAATCTTGGAAATTTTCTTTCCTCCTTATGTGAGCAGATGAATGTTTTCAGTCTTGCTGCAGCATGTTAGAGATAAGTCACATGAAAATCTAGCACCCTCCCCCCATCCCAAATCCTCAGAGGCATTCCACACAAGGTCAGTATCAACTCAGCTCCTGGTTTCTGAAAGTAGATAATAACAAAAATAGAAAACACTACAGTGTCACAGATCAGCAGTGCACACATTTGTACTGAATTCTTTCTGCTCTGCTGCTAACTGCTGTCACTGACAGTGTCTGCTCAGATCAAGTGTGCATGCAGGAAAACAGGGCTACAAGAAGCCAGTGAGCTGACTCAAAGTAGCCAAGGCAGAAAGATGGGAGAGCAAAGGAAGGAAGCTCACTTGGTGAAAATCCAAAACAGATTACAAAGGACTCAGCTCTAAACAGCAAACACAGTCTATGTTTGGGTAAAATGGAGGAAGCTTGAGGACTACAAATTTCTCTTCATAATTTGGGGTCTATGGGGGAGGAAGAGGAAGGGGAGGAAAGGATGGTGTTATCTCTAATCATATCCTGAAGACCATTCCCAACTAAAAAAAAAATATGGAGATCTTTAGGCATTAATTCCTCTTAGTAAGAAGATCAATTAAATTTAACTTTTGATTCATGTTTATCTAATAAAATTCTGGTCTTACAATATTCCTTTTATTAGCACAACCAAGTAGTATAACATATATTGCTAAACAGAAAACTTAAAAAGAATTAAATGTTCAATTATATCACTTTCTATTAAAAAAATTATGACTGAAAACTTGTCCTGTATATCAGACTGAAAATCAAGTAATTTTCTTGACCTAGTTTACAGTTTCAGAGATGCTCAAATGTTATTCTGTTGTCTTGCAATGATTCTTAACCTTTATAACTATTCTTCTCATTTCAGGCAAATAAAAATATCTAAACATATCTTTGTGTGCACTTAGGATACTTGACCATATTTCTTATATTCTCCCTAATTTTGAACATGTATATTTTTCTACAGTTGATGGACACATAATCAATACAAGCATTATTTTTAACACTAGTAATTTAAAAGCAATTCTCTTTAAGGATCTGTGCCACAATAAGAAGTAATATTTATATGCAACTTCTCAAGGAGCCCACCAATATAGGTAGATAAGACAGATATAAGACATTATTTCAAAAATAGGTGTGTGAGGCTGGGTGTGGTGGCTCACACCTGTAATTCCAGCACTTTGGGAGGCCGAGGTGGATGGATCACTTGAGGTGAGGAGTTCGAGACCAGCCTGGCCAATGTGGTAAACCCTGTCTCTACTAAAAATACAAAAATTAGCTGGGTGTGGTCTCGCACACCTGTAGTCCCAGCTACTGAGGAGGCTGAGGCAGGAGGATCACTTGAACTCAGAAGGCGGAAGCTGCAGTGAGCAGCTATCAGGCCACTGCACTCCAGCCTGGGCAACAGAGTCAGACTCTGTCTCAAAAAAAAATAAAATAAAATAAAAAAAGGTGTGTGAGCATTTTGCCCAAACCACCACTCATCTTGGATGTCATGACAGGAAAAGCTATTACCTTCACCTTAGTAATCTCCAGAAAAGGGAAATGAAATGATCCTACTCATCCTCTATTTTAGACTATCTTTCAGGTTTTCATTTTTAAGATGCTTACACATCCTGAGGAATCCACAAGTACCAAAGCTATAAAGAACAAGCCAAGAATAAACCTCCCTGGTATTCCAAAGGCTCACAGTTCTGATTCCATGGAGCGGTGAATTTGAACCATCAAGGAAAGCAAATCCCAAGCTAGGCTTTCAGAAGCCTAAGGTTCATAAATACATAAATCTAATATGAAATGGTCAAGTTATTCACAAGGACAGTTAGGCTGAGGGACCTTGAGTCTATGCAATCCACTTCCATTTTCCTAGACTCTATGTACAGGCAGTAGGGTGTAAGCCATCTGTCTCAGTTTTTGATGCAATTCCAATATTATCAAAGACAAGATAAAATCATCTTCAAAGTCCTTCCCAGAAACACAGTTTTATGTCTTTTTTCCTAAACAGCAGCATCCACTATTTCGTAACCAGAAAACATTAAAAACTAGAAACTATTAGAAACTACAAAGTTGTGAAAACTCACAAAGCTGTATTTTCCAATCCTGAAACTTATTTATAAAAATTCTCTTGGAGTACATTTCACCATAAAAATGGTATCATTAAGTAGCTTAACTGTCAATCTCTCTCACAAGCAAACAGAGAAAAATCTAGCTCTTCTGAGAAATAGTTTTTCTCACTCTGATCAGGTCACTTAACCTTTCAGAACCCTAGTCTTATTTTTCATATGTGGATGTTAATATCTCTATCATCTTAGGATTTGCAAGGCAAAATATGTAAGATGTCAAGTAATTAATATTGAGCCTAAATATTAACATTACTTAGAATTTTAAACAACAGTGAAGTAGTTTTTAAATTTGTTAAAAGGAATTATGGGTTATAAAAAAGGTTAGAAAACACTGATCTAATATAGTTACAGAATAAATAATGTAAACACTAAAATTTCTGCCCCCAAAATCTTATCTCAATATCATTCAAAATAACCTATCTACTCTCTACTTTTAGAAATTCATTATATGGTTTTGAAACCATCAGATTTGGAGAAAAATAGGTTACTAAATACTAAATACAAACTCTGTCACAAGTCACCTTACATCACTGTAGTGGTGATGTAAGCTATTTGTTCTGACCGACTCTCTCTCCTTCTAGGGTTCAGCAGTCCTTTTAGGAGATTGCTTCTCTTTCCGCCTCTTCTAATGTCTTTCTACTCATATAGTTCAAACAGAAGATGCCATCTCTCTGGGCAATGACTGTCCAGAAATTGGCTCCTGGTCGAAGCTTAGCCAAAGTACCCCACCACACAATCACAGAGATTAATTCAAGAATGAGCCTGTGACCAATGCCAAAGCAGTCAGAATCTTCATCTAGGATGCCTTTATTTGGAACTGATAAAAAGCTAGCATTCTAGGTAGCAAGCCCTGGCTCCTGTCACCTCCTGTCATACTTAATTTTATGGGCTGATTTGGCTAGGCCACAGTACCCAGATATTTGGACAAACACGACCCTAGATGTTACTGTGAAGGTATTTTTTAGGTGAGATTAACATTTAAATCGGTAGGCTTGAGTAAAGCAGATTACCCTCAATAATGTAGGTAGACCACATCCAATCACTTGATGGCATTAAGAAAAGATGAGGTCTCCCAAGGAATAAGGAATTCTATCTCAGATTGCCTTTAAACTTGAGATGCAACATAAACTCTTCACTGGGTCTCCAGCCTGCCAGCCTGTCCTAGAGATGTCGGACTTGCCAGCTCCCACAATCTTAAAAATTTCTTAAAATAAATCTGTCTCTCTCTCTCTCTCTCTCTATATATATATATATACACACACACATATATATATACACATATATACACACACATATATATACATATATACATACATATATATACACATCCTATTTGTTCTCTTTCTAACCCTCCTTCCCGCCCACTTATACCTTTACTCTTCCAATTATATAGGGGTCATCAAATTCTTTTTGCCTAAACCAGCTCCAGTTAGGTAGGTCATTTCATCTTTTTTAAGCCTCCGTTTTCTTCTCTTCAAAGAGGGATAATAAAACCTGTATCTCACAACTGCATACAGGATTACATAACTTATGCCAGCATACCCAGTTTACATAGTAGATGCTAAATAAAAAGTTAAACACCAACAAACTCTTTATAAGCTCTAGTTTCTGCAGCTATAAAATGAATATCTACTTTACAAACCATATATGGGATTGCTATGAAGAGCGATAGGGAAAATACACAATAAAACCTAATATACCACTATACAACTTATCTACTTACTCAATAACACATACTGAATCCTATTACATACTTGTCACTATGCTATACTTAGGAGGTACATAAAACCAGTGAGATAGGCACCTGTCATTAAGAAGCTCTTAATTCAGTGTATGTGAACACACACCTGGTGTGAGGGGTTGGGGATAAGAATATAAAGAGATAATTACAATGCAGTGTACTAGGTGCTACAACAGGTAAGCACTGTGGGACAGGTAAGGTGCTATTGGAACACAGAGAATGGGAACTTGACTCTCCCTGAAGGAGGTCAGAAAAGGCCTCCTTGGTATCACTGAAGGCAGGATGATTAATTGCAAAGTGAGCTGTGCAGATAATAATGTCATATTTACAATATAAATTACTCCAGTCTGAGAATACTGTGTGATGGAGGTGAGAGACTTCAGCTAAGCCTTGAAGGAAAGAGTAAATGTCAGGTAAGAAAATGGTATTTCTACTAGAGAGAGCTTACGTAAGAAAGCACAGAAGATGTTGGCAAAACAGCAGTAAGAAGCAGACTAAGAAGAAAACTCAAATTTGATAAAATATCTGCATCTACAGATCTAAAAAGCTCAATGAACTCCAAGTAGGATAAACACAAAAAGACTCACACTGAGACACATTATAATCAAACTGTTGCAATAATCTTTAAAATAGCAAGCAAGAAGAAAAGCAACTTGTCAATTTGTGACATATAATCAATCCTTAATAAGATTATCAATGGATTTCTCAGCAGAAACTTGAAGGTCAGAAGGCAATGAAATGATATATTTAAAGTGCTGGAAGGAAAAAAAAAACCTGTCAACTGAGAATTCTATACCTGACAAAACTGTGCTTCAAAAACATGAGGGAGAAATTAAAATATTCTCAGACAAACAAAGGCTGAGGGAGTTCATTACTTCTAGATCTACCCTACAATAAATGCTAAAGGGAGTCCTTCAGGTTAAAATGAAAGGATGCTAGACAGTAACTGAAAGCCATATGAAGATAAAAAGATCTCCAGTAAAGGTAAATACATGGACAAATGTAAAAACCAGTATTACTGTAATTTTTGTTTACAACTCCACTTTATACTTTCTATAGAATTTAAGAGACAAATGCATAAAAAAGAATTTATGAATCTGTTAGTAGATACACAATGTATAAAGATATAGTTTGTGACATCAATAACATAACAGGGGGAGTTCTGATACAGTTTGTGACATCAATAACATAACAGGGTGAGAATGGGCCAGGTGCAGTGGCTCACTCCTGTAATCCCAGCACTTTGGGAAGCTGAGGCGGATGGATCACCTGAGGTCAGGAGTTCGAGACCAGCCTGGCCAACACAGTGAAACCCTGTCTCCACTAAAAATACAAAAATTAGCTGGGTGTGGTGGCAGGCGCCTGTAATCCCAGCTACTTGGGAGGCTGAGGCAGGAGAATCACTTGAACCCAGGAGGCAGAGGTTGCAGTGAGCCGAGATTGCACTGCTGCACTCCAGCTTAGATGACAGAGCAAGACTCCATCTCAAAAAAAAAAAAAAAAAAAAAAAGTGAGGGTAAGGCAGAGGAGAGAATGGAGCTGTATAGGACCAGAATTTTATTTGTGTCTTTAAAGACAGAGTGTCTCTGTTTCCCAGGCTGGAGTGCATTGGTGTGATCATAGCTCACTGCATCCTCGAACTCCTGGCCTCAGGCAGTCCTCCCGCCTCAGCCTCTCAAGTAGCTAGGTCTACAGGTATGCACCACCACAGCCAACTAATTTTATTTTCTGTAGAGACAAGGTCTCACTATGTTGCCCTGACCTCAAGCAATCCTCCCATCTTGGCTTCCATATTCCTGGGATTACAGGCGTGAGCCACCACGCCTGGCCAGGAGCACAGTTTTGTATGGGACTGAAGTAAGTTGATATCAATTCCAATTAGATTATTCAGTCTGGGATGATAAAGTTCTGGAGATTCATAGTGGTGATAACTACACAATTACTGTGAATGTATTTAATGACATTAAGTACATTTAAAATTGACAACAAAAGAGTGAAACTCTGTCTCAAAAAAAAAAAATTACCACTTTAAAATTTTAACCACTTTAAGTGTACAATTAATGACACTGAATTGTACACTTTAAGTAGTTAAAAATTTAAAGTAGTAAATTTTATGTTATGTATATTTTATGATAATAAAAAATTAATGAAAAAAAAGTAGAGAGATGAGAAAATTCTAGACAGACTAACTTACCTAGAATGGAAGGTTCATGTGTGGTTAAATAAAGCTGAAATGGTAAATCAGAAAAAGATTATAAAGAACTTCTGTACTAGGTAAAGACAGCCTTTTACTGTTGTTGTTGGTTTTTTTTTTTTTTTTCTTTTTTTTGAGATGAAGTCTCACTTTGAAGCCCAGGTTGGAGTGCAGTGGCGCGATCTTGGCTCACTGCAACCTCTGCCTCCCGCATTCAAGTGATTCTCCTGCCTCAGCCTTCCGAGTAGCTGGGATTACAGGCATCCGCCACCACGCCTGGCTAATTTTTGTATTTTTAGTAGAGATGGGGTTTCACCTTATTGGGCAGGCTGGTCTTGAACTCCTGACCTCAGGTGATCCACCCACCTCAGCCTCCCAAAGTGCTGGGATTACAGGTGTGAGCCATCGTGCCCAGCCAAGACAGACTTTCAATACACAGGAAATGGTGAGTCCCTTAGAGGTTTCTGAGACATGCTTCTTTGAACACCGAATGGCATTATTTAGCAACACAGCTCTTCTTTCCTGTCTGGCTTGTGGAGGAAGAGAGGAAGCAGAGGCTCTTATCGCTCAGAAAGCTGATGACAATTGCTAGAAAGGCAATAAAACACCCTGACTCTGCTTATCTTAGGAACTGTCAGAAGCCTTGAGCTAGATTACAGTAATAACTATAGAAAGCTGATGAGAAAGTCTTCGTTTTTAATTTAAACAATTTGAAAGTTACATGACCTTTCATTCTAAGAATTCAGAGTTCATGGCCGGGTGCAGTGGCTCATGTTTTTAATCCCAGCACTTTGGGAGGCCGAGGTGGGCAGATCACTGGAGGTCAGGAGTTCGAGACAAGCCTGGCCAACTCGCTGAAACCCCATCTCTACTAAAAATACAAAAATTAGCCGGGTGCGGTGGTGCATGCCTTAATCCCAGCTACCTGAGAGGCTGAGGCAGGAGAATCACTTGAACCTGAAAGATGGAGGCTGCAGTGAGCCAAGATCGTGTCACTGCACTCCTGCCTGGGTGACAGAGCAAGACTTCGTCTCAAAAAAAAAAAAAAAAATCAAGAATTCGTAGTTCACAAAAGCTTAGGTTAAAGTTTGAGAACAAAGACATTTATTCTTACCATAAGTTTTAAATTAAAAGTTCCTTTGCCAGGCACAGTGGTTCACAACTGTAATCTGAACACTTTGGGAGGCTGAAGTGGGAGGACCACTTGAGCCAAGAGTTTGAGACCATGCTGGGCAACATAGTGACACCCACATCTCTATAAAATTTTTTTTTTTAATTAGCTGGGCATGATGGCACATGCCTGTAGTCCCAGCTACTCAGGAGGCTAAGGTGGGAGGACTGCTTAAGCCTGGGAGGTCAAGGCTAAAGTGACCCATGATCACGCCACTGCTCTCCAGCCTGGGCAGCAGAGCCTGACCCTATCTGAAAAATACATTACTTACATACACACACACACACACACACACACACACACACACACACACACACACACACAAAAATAAAACTTGCCTTAATTATATAATCTTTATGTGATACAATTTCATTCTTTCAACAAATATTTATTAAATGTCTACTATATTCCAAACAAGATTGTAGTTGGGCCTCTATTTATAGTTTGCTGGGGAAAATTAGTAGCCATTAATTATAAAAATTAAAGATAAATTCTGTGAAAGTATGATGGTACTATGGGAATAACTAATGTTCTTACTTAGTTCTGAGAGACTGGCTGTTTTTAATGGGTTTTATTTTTAAAAATAAGAGAATATATTTATGGGTGTAAGTAACTGAAAAGAGAGCCTAAGTAGAATCAGAAAAAATACAAACTTTGGGGTGTGGCTTATATGACAAAGCACACCCCCTTAGTGGCAGGTCCCAAAATCAGATGGTTCATTTTACAAAGGTGAAATAATTTCTTTTCTTTTTTTTTTTGGAGACAGAGTCTCACTCTGTCACCCAGGCGAGAATGCAGTGGGGCAATCTTGGCTCACTACAACCTCTGCCTCCCGGGTTCAAGCAGTTCTCCTGTCTCGGCCTTCAGAGAAGCTGGGATTACAGGTGTGCACCACCACGCCCGACTAATTTTTGTATTTTTACTAGAGACGGGGTTTCACCTTATTGGCCAGGCTGGTTTCAAACTCCTGACCCTCAGGTGATCCTCCCACCTCGGCCTCCCAAAGTGCTGGGATTACAGGCGTGAGTTACCGCGCCTGGCCAGAAATATAAATTTATTTTGCAAATCCATAATAATTTATTCTACTTATCTGGCAGGACAAAATGAGATTAAAAGAAACTAACAGAAAAGAAATATAAAACGAAACCTTAACTTTCTGAATTACAAAATAGGGATAATAAAGTTGATGGGCAGGATTAATTTATGTTACATCTAGAAAGACTCCAGAGCAATGCCTGGCATGTAGTTAAGTGCTAAATAAATTTCAGCTATTATTATTATTACCATTACATTGTTTACTAGTATAAAAATACATTTACTGGCTTTTTGAAAGCTGTAATAAAGCACCTGGAGTGATGGCAATCAGGCCTCCAGTATGTCGGCAGAGACTGTGACTCTTAAATCCTCCAGGAGTTGAAATTTCTTGGTAGATGCTTTTGCTTTCCAAAGACAGACTATAATACATCTCAATAATTATTGCTGTATTAAAAGAGGTAAGTGTCCCTTAGTAAGCTACCAGAGCCACAAAACAGTACAAGCAAATGAAATGTATAATAATTCTAACTCAGAACAGGTACAAAGAAGCCACATAGATTATGTATGTATGTATGTATGTATGTATGTATGTATGTATGTATGTATGTATATATTTAATAGAGACTTGCTTTGTTGCCCAGGGTGATCTCAACTCCTGGCCTCAGCAATTCTCTTGCCTTGGCCTCCCAAAGTCCTGGGATTACAGATGTGAGCCACCATGCCCAGCCTAAGTAATTTTTAAATGATCTAACAGGCACACATTAAAAAATAAAAAGAAATGAGTGAAATTTATTTTAATGTAATATTTCAAAATGTAATAAAGATGAAAAATACTAAGATATTTTACATTTTTTTTCATTCTAAATCTTTGAAATCCAGTATATTTTATACTAACAACACATCTTAAATTGGACTAGCCATATTTCAAGTGCTCAATCACCACACAGCTAGTGGCTACTATACTGGACAGCACAGGTTCAGACTTTAGCAAGGAGGTTTTCAAGTAAGGAGAGTCTCCCAAAACAGAGGTTTTAATGATGATCTATACACTTTATGTGAAAATGAATTAGGCTGCCTCCTTACTATCAAAGAAATGCACACCGCAACCTAGAGCTTCAATTATTTAACCAGTAATACCATTCTTAAGGCAGAGTCACAAAAGAGACCTTTTAGTGTCAGTGTCACAGATCTTTAGAGGGTCACAAACACATCAAGTTGGATCATAAGCAAAAGAGCTCCAGATTTGATAATATAAGCAATGAACTCTCCAGACATAATGGTTTCTAATGATATTTGAACTGAACTAAAACAAAAACATAGAATTTTTAAAAATTTGAACCATATGCTAGGATTTAGAAATTTTAAAAAATCGGTTCTTGAATATGACTGAAGTAGAGGTCTATATATTTAGGAACACAGAATCTGGCTACCTGGCTACATAGTTCCATTCACTCTTCAACTAGAGAAAGAAAGTTCATTCAGCTACTCCAACCAATATTTAGTGAACAGCTATTGAGTAAATCCTGTACTCTAAGTGCTGAACTCGGTGTTGGGGATGATGATGATAAATACTAACATGTATTGAGAACTTACTATGTTCCAAGCATTGCGTTAAGCATTGTACATGGTTATTCATATTTCCATTTTACAGATAAATAAACTGAGGTACAGATAGTTAAGTATATCCAGGTCATGTCAGGCAATCTGGAAATCTGGTTAAAAAGCCCATGCTCTGAAATACTACACTATATTGCCTCATTAGAAGTAAGAGTTGGCCTGTGCCATCACACAGAGTCGAGAATCTACTGGGAGAGAAGGAAATTGAGTGCTCTCTGAGCTGAGGTAGATAATCAGGGAAAACTTCGTGGAAATGAAGACTAGTTCATTTCTTCATCTGAAAAACTGAAATAAAGTTATTACCCTTCAGGGATGTTACAAGAGCTCAGCAAGTGAACTTACATAAAGAAGGCACAGTACAATGCCTGATAACTATTATTCTAATTATCTATCCTGTTTACTGGCCCAAGACCAGGATAACAAACAGGCCTGACAGGATGTGGCTTTAACTTCCTGATGTTCTTGCTAAAAGGACAGAGACAGGAAGGAAATGGAAGCTAGTAGATGACAAAATATTAACTCCTGCCTCAGCATAATTTACCACTACCACATTATCCAAGTGACTGAAGCACTCTCTTAGTAGTTTCATCTTTTCCACTGCCAAGAACTTCTCTAACTGAGGCATTTTACTGTCACAGCAACAGCTCTCAAGAATGGGTCCACAGATAGTTTTTAAGTGTCTGGGAACTCCTGAAATAAATACAAAATAGTATCACAGATATACATGTTCTTTTTTTCTGTGGGCAGGGTATAACAGTCTTCATCAGATTTTCAAAGGAAATCCTTGACACAAAAACAGGTCTGCAATTACCATGATTCAGCAATTCCACTTTTGCAAATATACTCCAAAGAACTGACAGCAGGGTCTTGAAATGGTATTTGTATGTTCATGTTCATAGCAGCGTTATTCATAATAGCTAAAATGTGGAAACAACCCAAATGTCCATCAATAGATGAACAGGTAAACAAATGTGGTATGTAAGTACAATGGAATTATTATTCAGCCTGAAAAAGGAAGGAAATTCTGACATATGCCACAACACAGAAGAACCCTGAGGATATTATGCTGAGTGAAATAAGATAGTCATAAAAAGACAAATATCTCACGATTCTGCTTATATGAGATAGTTACAGTAGTCAAAATCATAGAGATAGAAAGTATAATAGAATGGTGGCTGCTATGAGGAAGGGCGGGGAAAATGGGAGGGAGTAGAGTATGGGGAGTTATTGTTTAATGGGTATGGGGTTTCAGTTTTGTAAGATGAAAAGTCTTGGAAATGAATGGTGATGATGGTTGCACAACACTGTGAATATATTTCTTTTTCTTTTTTTGAGACGGAGTCTCGCACTTGTCTCCCAGGCTGGAGTGCAGTGGCGTAATCTCGGCTCACCGTAACCTCCACCTCCCGGGTTCAAGCGATTCTGCTGCCTCAGCCTCCTGAGTAACTGGGATTCCAGGCACCTGCCACCATGCCCAGCTAATTTTTGTATTTTTAGTAGAGACGGAGTTTCATCATGTTGGGCAGGCTGGTCTCGAACTCCTGACCTGAGGTGATTCACCCATCTCAGCCTCCCAAAGTGCTGGGATTACAGGCATGAGCCACTGTGCCTGGCCATGTGAATATATTTCATACCACTGAATTGTATGTTTAAAAATGGTTAAGATGATAAATTACTATGTTATGTGTATTTTATCACAATTTTTAAACATGTGAAAAAAAAGAAAAACTAAGTCTGCAGAATATTTAAAAAAAAAAATCAGCCCACTAACCTTAATGTTCCTGTGAGGATTCAAAAACCTTTTATATATAAAATCCTTTTCTTTTTCTTTTTTCTTTTTTCTTTTTTTGAGACTGAGTCTCACTCTGTTGCCTAAGCTGGAGTGATCTCGGCTGTGAGTGATCTCGGCTCACTGCAACTTCTGCCACCCAGGTTCAAGCGATTCTCGTGTCTCAGCCTCCTGAGTAGCTGGGATTATAGGCATGCGCCACCACGCCTGGCTAATTTTTGTATTTTTAGTACAGATGAGGTTTCGCCATGTTGGCCAAGCTGGTCTCAAACTCCTGACCTCAGGTGATCCACACGCTGCAGCCTCCCAAAGTGCTGGGATTACAGGTGTGAGCCACTGTGTCCGGCCTAAAATCCTTTCCTATAGTCTTCAAAATAAGCTATTATTCAGAAGGTCTTTGCCTTAGTTCAACATTTAACACATGGCTTCTATTCTGCCATAAACTTTGCAGGAAGTAAGTCTTGGAAATATTCTAATATTTATAACATACTTTGCGTCATTCATTCAACCAACTAGCCTATTCCTCGGTGTTAAGTAATGTGTGTGTTAATTTCTAGGCCTATCAAAATGAACAAGACATAGCTCTTGCCCTTAGGAATTAAAAATTTACCAAAAAAGCAATATAAATTACTATAGTTAAACAGTAGAAATACTACAATAAACGAATAAAGCCTCTGGAAGAAGAGGAAAGAAAAGTAATCTGAAGATTTCATGGAAGGCTTGACAGAAGAGACAATATTTAAGACGGGTCTTGAACATGAACAAAACTTTATAAGGTAAAAGGTATGCTCCAGGCAAAGGCGAACAGTAGGATCAGAGGCATAGAAGAATAAAAGTGGTGGTATGTTGAAGTAAGAGGTAATAAACCCATCTATCATACGACTGGAGAAAGGGAACAAAGCTGAAATAGTAGATTCGAGTACTGTACTGAACACTCAGAGTACAAAGAGCAAACACACTGTATCTGTTCTCAAATAGCTTTTTAGTACCACAGGGCAGCATACTGTGAGAGGTGGCTAAGACAGAACGGTCAGAATGCCAAGAGAACACCATGAAGGAAGAGCCTTTACACCATGTTCAAAGAAGTGAACTGGATTCAGTTGGAGATGGGAAGTCACTGAGGGATCTGAGTTGTATTTTATATATCAGTTGGAAGTAGGATGGTCCAAAGGAGGAAAAGGCTCAAAGCAGAGAGCCAATGAGGAGGTTACAGCCATGATCCAGATAAAAGACAAAGGCTAAAACTAAGAAGGAAACATAGAAAACAGAGAAGACAGATTTCAACAATATTGAAAAAATTATTTTCTCATCTATTATGAGCTAAACACTAGGGATACAAGCAGCCCGTGTTTAAGAAGCACATAATCTAGTGGGAGATTAAAAAACACAGAATTATAACAAAGAATGATAAGTGTTATAACAGTTGTAAATATAAAGACTACATAAAATAGGCTCTTAAATAAGACTTGAAGAGAGTATGGAGGTTGGGAGGTAAATCAAGGAAGGCTTCCTCTCCCAGAGGAAATGATGTCTAAGATGAGATTTGAAGAGTGAGAAGTTGATTAGACAAAAGAGATGGGAAGGTAAGGAATCAATTCAACAGACATTTCAAAGGTAGAAGACTAAAGATGAGAAGAAGAAAAATCTCAGGTTTCTAGCTTGAGTGATTGGGTGAATGGTGATGTCACTGAGAAGGGAGATACAAAACAGAGGTGAGGGGACAATTAGGGAATTCATATCCTACTAGATGTTCAGATGAAAACACTAGTAGGCAATGAAAAATACAGGTCTTGAGCTCAAGTAAGAGATTCAGATATTCGATGAGTGTTATATTACAACTACCTGTATTGCTTTTCCTTAAGTTAAAAATATCATACTAATTTAATCTAATTGGCATAATTAAATCATTTAATTAATAGCAAATGTTGAAGAAATCACAGAAAAAAATTTTAAAATATACCTAAAGGTATCTCGCACTTCAAGCTCCCAATGTCTTATATTTTCTACTAGAAACAATTTGGTGAACTAAAGATGAAAACAAAGACAACGAAATCTCATTTTCTGACCAATAACAAAGAACATTCTTCACCCAACTAACTCAAGTTTATATATAGCTTTCAATATTTCCATTGGTTTGCAATGCTCAAAACAAAATATGATTCTAAGAAATATATTCCTTTTTTCATTATGCATTTATCTATTTCCTGAATTTTACAATGAATATGTATTATAACTATCATTAAGAAAAAAGTATTATAAAGTACTACATTCATTATACAGTAATTACAATTTCACATCATACATGCTGCTTACTTAGAGGTTTGATCCCTGGACTAAAAAAAAAAAATTTTTTTTTTTTTTTTTTGAGACAAGAGTCTCACTGTGTTGCCCAGGCTGGAGTGCAATGGCTCACTGCAACCTCTGCCTCCCAGGTTCAAGGAATTTTCCTGTGTTAGCCTCCTGAGTAGCTGGAATTACAGATGTGTGCCACCACGCCTGTCTAATTTTTGTATTTTTAGTAGAGACAACGTTTCACCATGTTGGGCAGGCTGGTCTCAAACTCCTGACCTTAAGTGATCCACCTGCCTCGGCCCCGCAAAGTACTGGGATTACAGGCATCAGCTATCGCGCCCAGCCCCTGGACTAAAACTAAGTATCTTCATCTCAAAACGAAAATGAAGAACTGGCTAAGATTTTGTCAGGTAACAATTTAGCAAAAGCCACAAACGAAATCTGTTTATTTTTTCCTGTTTTGTAGTCATACTCATCACATCCTTATATATTAATAAAAAAATTAAAGGCTGAAGAATTTTAACTTTGCATGGAAAAAACGGTTATTCACAAGAATAAAAACCAAGGTTTTTATAATGTAATACCTTGAAGACTTGGTGATAATGACCTAACACAACTATTTACAAAAGCGTATTTTAACAACTATAATTTTAGCATGGGGATGAGTCTGACTATGACACTAATGGAGTTGACAGATTATATAAGTTTGCCTACACTGTAGATCTCATCTAAAATAAAAGTCCAGGGAAAATATTTTCACAAACGTCAAATCATGTATAAATATACCGCACATTTATAAAATGTGACTATACCCTAAAAACTAACAAGGTTTTGAAATTCTCTGATTTTCCTAATAAGATAGTCACAAAATATTAGATATGTTATTTTCATGCTGTCAGCTGCCATTTACTATATAAGACTGCCACTGGTACAACTTAACATTATAGTTACTAAAAGTTATTGAAAGATTAGTTGACCAAAATGTAACAAATAATGTTTTCAACAGTAAGAGCATTTTTTCTATGATGCTCTAATTCCCATTAAAATTCATTATAGAAATATTTTATACATTAAACAAGTACACTTGAAGTCAAATCAAGCAAGTCCTAGAACATTGGTGTATGTATCCATTTTCATAGGCTTAAGAGGCCCAGATGATAAGTATTTTCAAATCTACCTACTATAACATGTATATTACATATATAAGGAAAGCAAAAATGTTTATGGACCATTTATGGACCACATGAAAATGAACAGTATAAACACCATTATAGGTTCAGTAATTGTTTACTACTTCTATTTTGCAACAAAGTCAAAAATTTAAAAATCCTAATGAGTGGCAGAATTGTATAACAGAAAGAATGCTGAACTTATACAACCTGGTTTTGATACCAATACTGTCTCTTAACGTGATGTGTGACTTTGGATTTGATTTTTTTTTTTCCGTGAGTAAGGACAAAATTAAACTATACAATCACCACGAAGTGTTTTTTGCCCTGGTCAGATTTCAATATTAGAAGTTTTATGTCATAGGAAAAGGCCAATAAGCCAATCCAATCAGACTGAATTTCAGGTCTTTTCCAGGAAATGCCAGAAGAGAGGCACTCTTCACCAAATTTGAAATTATAAGTACATGTAGCTAGATGTACTATAGCCCTCTTGCCAAAATAAGGAGAAAGTCTATCTGAGAATGGAATCAACCCAGTGGAAATGGAAACAAGAAATGGAGAGCAAGAGAACTGATTATATCATCTGAGCCTCAATATCAAGGAATGCTTTAAGCCAGCCCTACCTCTGAAAGGTTTCAGTTTCACAAGTCAATAAATTTCACTCTTAGTTTGGGTTTAGTTCTTTCTTACAACTGAAAAATTCTAACAACCAGTTTTTCTACAGAAATCTCAACATAGTCTCACAGATAAGGTTAAGATCATTGCCAAATTATTGCCATATAAGGCAGTTAACTCATTTAATCTCCTTATATCTCAATACTGTCAGTAAAATAAAGTATATCAGCCATTATCTGCTTCAAAGTGTTGTGAGGGTTAAAAAAAGAAAAAGACTGGTGTGAATATTTAGATACAGTGCCCTGTAGACAGAAAAATTATCTCACTTTTAAAAAGTAATTTTATAGTCATTTTTACAATCAGTATTACTATAAAGTTTCCAGGGAACACGGAAATTAAGGAAGTACCAATAATATCTGCTATACTCAGATTCAAATCAAATTGTATTTGAGTCTGTTCTACATAGTACCTATGTATAAGAAAGAAGATTCAACTTAGAATAAAGTAGTCCTGGGATCAGGTATCAGCTCTGCAGCTGACAAGCTTGTATCATTTTGGGCAAAATATCTAAGCATCTTAAGTTTCTTACCTGTAAAACAGAAACACCACCACCTATCTCAAATTACAAGGTTTGTGTGAGGGTCAAGTAACAATTATGAAAGCTCTTGGCATGGTGTCTGAATTTAACATTCCATCTATTAAATGTATTAAATGATAATGTTTTTCTAATATGTTATTCAAATATCTAAGGTTGGAGAAAAACTATTTTTCAGTCATTCTAGGATATACGTTTTTTCGCATTTTTCTCTAAATGAAATCAAACAGTACCTTATAGTTAATGGCACGTCATTGTTTATTTGGCAGTGACTTTTCAGTGGTACATAAGTAAACAGTGTATCCTGCAATTAAAGGTTGCCTCATATATGATGAAGTACACTGACTCCGTTTAAACAGAACTGTGGTACTTAACCAAATATTAGGTAGCATTTATCAAAATATACATTAGAAACAGAAAGGTGTGTGTGGGGAGGAAGTTGTATACATATATACATGTACTGTGTGTGTGTGTGTGTGTGTGTGTGTGTGTGTGTGTATGTGAGTAGGCTGTAATTTTGCTTTACATACCTCTGTAGGTCAACTATTTCATTGTTAAGAGTATCTAGTTCCTTAATAGCAGAGAAATCTGCAACAGGACTTGATCCTATGATGTTCTAAAAACAAAAAGTTCACAATTATACATTACTATAAAATTAGGTAATATAAGACAAAACACTAAAAATATTAAAGCTCTACGCAGATATAAGGTATTGCATATTTTACTGTATTACTGAGATTTTTAATTAAGAAAATCATATCTAGTACAATTATATATAATTTTATACTTAATTATATAGTAAGACATTTACATTTCCCTTAAATTCTCCGAAAACTGTTATTCTATACTATGTACCCCATCCCCACCTCCGATCCGAATGTCTTTGTCACTTGATCCTAGCCTGTTCAGAACCTTGCAGTAAAAGAGATGCCAGATTCATAAACTAATTCCTCCACTGAAGTGTAAATTTCTCAGAGAAACTGATGGTGATTTATTTGTATTTGTATAAACTGGCTGAGAGTAAACACACAAATTTTTGTTGAATCTCAGACCTACAGTAGTGGTTGATTTTATTTAATTCAAGGAATTTTTACTTTTGTTACATACTGTGTCTATTTTATTTAAAGTAAAACCAACTGCTCAAGCATGTTCCATAATAAATATTAATACCATCATATATGAAACTGTCTTCATATATGACATCCTGTCCATACAGTTTTCTTTCAACAATGAAGGTTACAAAATTGGTCTCTGAATGGTCCTTGTATTCAGAAAATCTAGCTGGGTTTATTCTGGGTCCTGCTATTTTACTAACTGCATTATCATCACCTGTAAAATAGGGAAATAATCTCTGCCTTGCCCACTTTACAAGTTAAATGAAATAATGTGATGTGACATCAGTCTACAAACTGTGATATTTTATAAATGTAAGCTATTGTTATAATTAACTCTTCAACAGAATATGCTCTTAAAAGATGTGGCCTCCCATTGAGTTGTTTCTACCTTGGCTCAATGTCCTCTGTAAACTATCACTGATGCCCCAGATAGCTAGCTGAAGTCAGAGCGAAAAGATAAATGCTTCCTCAAACATTTCATCTACACCCAATGCTACAACCAGATTAACAAATAACAGGATAATTACCATCTGGAAATGTTAAAACTGAGGCCTGAACATTTAAAAACTAAGATATACTGCTGACTTTATATAACAGAACATAAGACTTTGTGTTAATACTTATGTTGTTGTATAGTTAATTTACGTCAACAACTTGCACAACAGAAGAAACCTAAAAGCACACAATATCCCATCTCCTCATATTTATATACTCATTTACAATTCACTAAGCACTTTAAATTCCACTAGTTAATTCTCAAAACTAATCTGAAAAGTGGGTAGTAGGTAGGGCAGATATTGTTATTAACCCCATCTTAGAACTGAAGAAACAGATTAAATAACTTGCTCAAAGTTGAACCCAGCCAATACGTAGTTTAATCAAGAGTCTTCCGATTTAAGTGCTATTTCACGCAATGCCCCCAGTGGCACTTGCATATCAAGATCATTTCGGTAAATGAAATTATTACTCTAAAAGTAAATTTGATAAAACAGGTACATCAATAAAATTTGGCAAGTAATTCCTTCTGTATTTCTTTATGCCACACTGCAGTTTTAGTACTGAGCTGTTTTGACTATCAGTACCAAAACTCATCTACAAAGGTTTAATACTAATCTCAATTTTATATTAATTACAGCTTTGTATGAAATATACCTCCTATTTTCTGTGTTCCACTGATACACAAAAACTTATCAGTGTTAAATTAAATTAGATATTTTAAAGTGGATTTCTGAATGTGACAATTATTCACTAGTATTTTAACTCTATCTAAACTTGACCTATGAGCTAGGCCTGGCCAGACAGCTAAACAAAATGAAACATTAGCACTTGGTCTCACTTTTATCAGCAAGAGTAAATTACTTCACTTAAATGCTATCAGAAATTTGCTATCAGAGGTGCAAATGTACCAAAGAACTTGTGACTACCACATCTCCTCTGTCACTCTAACTCAAAAAAAGGTGACTCACATTTTATAGTCTTGCCTGTAAAAATATCATCAAATAAGAAGACAAAGTGAGACAAATTAGTTTAACCTCAAACAAGTTAGAAAGTGACACCCCAGATACTGAAAAAAGTTTAGTTAATATTTTATGTAGCATTTGAAGGGTATATGAGAAAAAATATGTAGCATGTCCCCTTCTTTCAAAATGTTTTCTCTTACCCTATTCTTGTGCATTACACAAAAATTCTACTTTGGTGATGTTAAGTGGATCAGAGAGCCTAGGGAAGGCAGACTAAAATGCACACAAGGACCAAGTGACATGTGACAAAAGCATGCTGTTTAGGAATTTTCTTTTTTTTGCTGAATAAAAAACCTCTCATTTCAAAATGTATCTTGTAAACCAAAAACCACAAAGCTAAAAAAGGCATAAAGTAAAGCTCTAACCTTGAGAGAGAGTAGAGTTAAGAAACTGACAGTACAAGAAAGGCGAAAAGCAGAGTGCTGCAGAATGGAAAAAATAGTCCAAACTAGAAAAAACACAGAAAGGAAAGCAACATTCAAAAAAGGATTAGTCAAAGCTGCAAAAAATGCAGTACTAAAAAAACCAGATTAAAGAGAAAAGAGGTTATTTGAAAGATAAAACAATGCAAGTTTTCATTTTTAAAGTTAAAATTTTGGGTTAATAGATAAGATAGCAGTGATAAATTCCCATTTCAATGAATAATACTGGTATCTGACATAAATAGACAAACGTATCTATGATCTAGTGAATGAACTTCAGACAAATCTACTAAATTAAAAACTATACCTCATGCAACTTCAAGCATCTACTAACATAGACTTCAAACTTTTAATTTGCTTCAGAAATTTCTGTCATATCTAAAATTTGTGTTGGTAGGCAATTGAATAGGTTATAAAATGAAGAAGGCAGAAAAAAAAAAAGCAGTCTGCATAGGTGAAAGAAAGCATGAAACAACACAGTATTCCATAACTGAGGTACAGTTATATAGCAAAGAGCAAAAATGCATATTCAGTAACCTTTATCCTTCTGGGTGGCATCACTTTCAGCCTTTTCCACAACTTAAGGGACTCATGTCATACATCATAAGGAATCAAAAAATTCACAAAAAGGCCCCCCCCATAACTCACAAAGCAGATAATAAAATATTTATTTTATTACAAATAAGGACAAAAACTTCTATAAGTAACTCTCCATACCTGGTAGCTATAAATTCCATTTAGCTTACCAAAAAAATCCAATTTTCTTTCTTTCTTTCTTTCTTTCTTTTTTTAAGAGACAGGGTCTTGCTCTGTTGCCCCGGCTGGAGTGTAGCAGTTGGATCTTACTTAGCTCACTGCAACCTCAAACTCCTGGGTTCAAGTGATCCTCCTGCCTCAGCCTCCCGAGTAGCTAGAACTACAGGTACACGCCAACGCACCTGGCTAATTTTTTTGTTTTTGTTTTGTAGAGACAGGGTCTTGCTATGTTGCCCAGGAACTCCTGGCCTCAAGTGATCCTCCCACCTCGGACTCACAAAATACTGGGTTTACAGGTGTGAGCCACTGTGCTTGGTCCCAATTTGGTTTTTATTAATCTTTTTAAAATGGGATTTTTAAGAACCATGTGACAAAATTAATGCAAAACCCAAAATATTCTATGATATTTTAAAGAGCTCTCCTCATACCACACATTTGACAACTCTTATTACTGTATAACAACCCTGAAAAATCTCCACAGCCATGGTTATACTTTATAGGCCATAAGAGATTTAAAAATACAAAGTATTTATTTTTAAAGGCAAATAGCCACTATGGTATGCAAGTCCTTTCAAAGGTCTATTAAAGGCCAAGATATTGCAAATGCATCATACTAGGAAGGGTTTCTACATGAGGAGAGAAAAATCAAGGCATGACTAAAACAATGAAGTTTTGAAAATTCTCACTGCTGTCCAGAAACCAAAACTAGGTAAAACCCACTTCTAGCTGTTCAAATATGAAGTTCAGTGGTATACTCAGGAACAAAAGGTCACCTACAGCAAAAACCGCACAGATACATCCTCAACATAATGTTTTCCTTGGAGGCTTTTTTGATGTAAAATTGACACCAAGCAACCATCATATGCAAGATTCTGTTTTCAAATCTGTATCATTTTATGTAAGAGTGAATCATCAAGTGAAACACAATAATTTAATTTTTATAGCTTTCCTTTTATAATCTATTCATAAAACTTAATTCACAAATCCAGGAAAGGAAAAATAAGCCCACATTTTCCAATTTTAAGACTGGAAATATAGTTGTCATGTTTAATGAATGGGGTAAACAAGCTACTGGCCAAGGATGTTATACAAGGCACTCCAGCATATTTATAGGCACAAACTAAACCACAAACAGTATACTGTTCTGCTCTTAGCCAGATACATTTTCTCTTCTATTTCATCCAAATTGAATCTGTAATTCGACATAGTATTGTTCCTTTGAAATTAATACATTCAGGTTTCCTTTTAAGCTTTCTTACCTTTTGTAAACTGGCCCTGTCTGATGGTGGAATCATTTCAGGAGTAAGAACGTGAGGAGGATCAATGCCCTTGATTAACTTCTGACTGATTAAGTGAAAAGCCAAGGCAAACTGATCCTTTGAAAGCTTCCCACAGTCCTTTGTGTCGCATAATGACCTGCACAAATAAACAAAATGAATGGTATGTAAGTGCCACAACTGCAAAAAGTCCAGAGAAAAAGTACCACTATGCAGCTTTTTTAAAATAATGAGGTGAATTTAAAAAGACAGTCACACCAACTTGCAGGTTATTAAAAACTCACTCAACTGTTCGAAGAGGTAGATCAGCTAAGATGGTAAAAAGAGAATGTTCACCCTGGTGCTGAGCAGGAGCCTCTAATCTGGGTTTACACTTTGTGTTTTCTTACCAATTTTCAGAACCACTATACAGTAAAAGTTGTGGTGGGCCAAAGAATCCTAACATTCCTTACACCCAACATTTTTAACATTAAAAGATATTAAAGATAAAATCTAAGTCTCAACAAATTTGATTCACTGGTGGCATTAGAAGGATTCTAAAACAAGCACAATTTTGATATTGCTATGCCTCCTGCAACTCTTGGAGTAGGAGGATACAAGGATCACCAAGCCAAAGCAGAATAAACAGCTGCAAATGGAAATCACATGTGAGGAAAAGGCAGCAATCTGGAAAGCTTTACACAATCACTTGAAGAGAAACTGCAAAGGTTTTACTCTACTTTCTTTTTCTGTAATTAAAAAAAAAAAAAGCTCAGCTTTCTGAAATCCTGATCTGTTTAATGCACTGAAGGCCAGTAGGGCCTGATGAAAAGACTACATAAGTAAAAAGACTACATGTCACATAGATCTTAAATTCCAGCTTTTCTACTTATTTCTTCTTATAACCTTGGCTAAGTTTTTTAACCTCTCCAAATCTTAGTTTCCTCATCTATAAAGTGGAGATGATAACACCCATCTTGCGAAATTACTATGAGAATTAAAGACAGGATATATAAAAAGCTTAGGCATAACATTAAGCCCGTGACAACTGCCATTTATTGAGTATAGTGCCTACCCTAGGCACTCAATAGTGGCAGCTACTACTAGTTATGCATATTTAATCTTTCCCAGTCTTGGGTTCTTGTTTCTTTTAAGGCAGATCTACTTACTGTCTGCCTCCCTTCTTTTCTAAGTTTCTCTTTACAACCATGTGGCCCCACTTGTGACGTTTCTGCCTCTTGAAAACCTGAAGATAACCTCTGGTATCGTTAGGTGGATTGGCGGCAGACAAACTATAAAGCATTTTCATATACATTATCTCATTTTCTGTGAAATTCATTAAAGACACTAGGGTTTGCCTTTTCAAGGACCAAGTATGTTATTCCTATGTGAAGGTATGAAAGTATACATATACACTATAAAATTATGCAGGTATGCCTTGAAGATACTGTTTTTTACATTGTTTAAATTTCAGATATCTGGATTCTCTCTGAAAATTTTAAGTTTAATTGATATAAACAGAAGCTGGATTTTAACATTCTAATAACAATTAACTGACACTGTCATTCTTTTTTTTTTTTTTTTTGAGATGGAGTTTCATTCTTGTTGCCCAGGCTGGAGTGCAATGGCGTGATCTCAGCTCACTGCAACCTCCACCTCCCAGGTTCAAGCAATTCTCCTGCCTCACCCTCCCGAGTAGCTGGAACTACAGGCGCACACCACCATGTCTGGCTAATTTTTTGTGTTTTTAGTAGAGACAGCTTTTCACCATGTTGGCCAAGCTGGTCTCAAACTCCCGACCTCAGGTGATCCACCCACCTCGGCCTCCCAAAGTGCTGGGATTACAGGCGTGAGCCACCATGCCCAGCGGATGCTGTCAATCTTATAAAGCTTCAGGTAACCCATTCTCAAGCTTTTGTCCATTAGCCAGAAGAATTCTTCAGATTCTGATTTTCTCTATAAAAAATTCTGAAACAAAAACTGTCCTATTTACAAATGACTAAAAATCAAAATGCAGAAACTGGAATTGATACAAAACCATATTTTTAAAAAATCAATTCAAATAAAGTCTTACCATATATGGGCTAGTAAGGTAGAAGGTAAACCTGTTTTCAAGAATATTTCACGGACCTCCAATCCAGACACAAATCCGTCCATATCTTTATCAGTTTTCAGGAAGATTTCATCATATTTAGCTTTTTCTGCAGGGGATACAACCCACTACAGGGAGGAAAAAAAACAGTATTTCTGCCAAAATGAAACAAACTTTGAAGTGTCACTCTTTCAATCCATTACAATATCCATCACAAATTCTGAACAATTCTACCCTACTAACTCAGAGCAACAATGTATCACTTCCATATGACATCTCAATCAAAATGCTGTGGGGAAGAGAAAATAACAGAAGAAAATACAGGTCAGTTAGGACTTATCCATAGGTGCACATTTTTACTTTTTTTTAAGAAATGAGTAAATTCAAACATAGTTAACTCTTGACTAATGCCCACATTAATATAGGTAACTGAAAGTCTGTATAAACAAAATACTCAGATAATTCTCAATCTTTATTTTTTATAGTTTGACCCAGCAGTGTTAACCATAGCCAAACTGGCTGATTTGCATATCCTGTCATTATCTTCCTTTACTCAATCTGACAAGAGGCAGGCTGGGGGCAGAAAAAAAAAAGCCTTGGACAACCCAGAATTCAATAATTTGATCCCAAAGAATCAAGAGTTAACTAGGTATTAAACAAAAATAAAAACAACTATTAATTATGCCAGGGCAAACATGCCATGTTAGCATGGAGCATCTTCCATTTCTAACTTTAATTCCAGGGAGATCAAAATAAAACCAATAAAACATCCATATGACCCAAGGCCTAATGTAGAAGGAATATCTGTCTTCTCTGGAGTATCACATTATGCAGGTTCAACGAGATGGTGCTCTAAAATTTTTATCCTTTTAATTGCTCTATCTTTGTCAAATAGTAAACTGTTAAATGCCATGTACTTTGTTAAAAAAAAATCCTTTAACACTGATAAATCTATACCTGTCTTAATGGTGCTTTGGTAGGTAAAATGCCTACAGATGGTAAGGAGTGGTAAGATTCCTTGGCTGATGCTGAAGAGGGGATCAACCGCACAGAGCCTGATATACTGACCGTTTTTCTCTTAGATGGTGGCACCAAGGCTGGAGGCAAGGACATTGGCACAGGTTCTTTCTCCAGTGCACAGTATACCAAAAACATGGCCTTCAAAATAAATGAACCAGGGTCATATATATTAAAAGCACTTAACATCCACCCACTGAATTGATTATTGTTCAATGATAAATCATCGTCAGGCTCTCAAATCCTTTTTTAAGAAATTGGGCTGGGAGGGAAAGAAGAGGAAAATGAGGGAGGGATGAAAGGAGGGAGAAAAAGAAAGAAATAAAAACTAAGAAATTTTTAGGAAGATATCCTTAGTAAAAATTTAGAGACGTACCCTTCAACTAAAGTTCTTGCAATGTCAAAGGCAAACAACAATTTGAGAAGACAACATATGCAAAGAAAGAAGTACTCTCCCTAATATATAGAGCTCCTAAAAATTAACAGAAAAAAAAGTCCAATAGAAAAATGGAAAAAGAGTTTGAAGAGATATTTTACAGACAAGCAAATCCCTTAAATGGTCCATTCTTTAACATAAAAAAAATGCCCAATCTCAGATGAAAACTGTAAGTTAAAACTATACTGAAATACCATTTTCTACCTAATTGGCAAAAACTCAAAGTTTCATAATATACTTTGTTAGCTAAACTGTGGGGAAATTTTTACACTGCTGGTGGGAGCTGAGCGGTAGCATGCTACCCCAAAACATTCCACTTTGGCATAAGGATTATTTTGAACTGAAAGCAACTGAGAAGTAGTAGCATCAAAAAAATAAATAAATAAATAAAAGCTCTCTGCCCTCCTTCTATATGCCTAAAAGCAGGATATAAATTTACAAAGGTATCCCTCTTGCCCTCTCTACAAGGAAGGATAACAGTTCCTGCCCAAAATGAATTCAGACCCTTATCAGCCTAGAGGTGTCGCCAGAAGAATTACATAACAAACTTAATGCTGCTGGTGGGAATGTAAAGTAGTTCAGCCATTGTAGAAAAGTCTGGTGATTTCTCAAAGAACTCAAAGCAGAATTATCAATGACTCAGCAATCCTATTACTGGGTATATACCCAAAGGAATATAAATTGTTTATCATAAAGACATATGCACACATATGTTCATCACAGCACTATTCACAATAGCAAAGACATGGAATCAACCTAAATGCCCATCAATGGTAGACTGGATTAAAAAAATGTGGTACATATACACCATGGAATACTACACAGCCACAAAAAACAACAAGATCATGTCCTTTGCAGCAAAATGGATACAGCTGGAGGCCATTATCCTAAGCAAACTAACACAGGAACAGAAAAACAAATACCATATGTTCTTGCTTCTAAGTGGGAGCTAAACATGGAGTAAATGGGGTCACAAAGAAGGAAACAACAGACATGGGGCCAATGTGAGGGTGGAGGGAAGAAGAGGTTCAAAAAACTACCTATCATTTATTAAATGAATGACAAAATAATCTGCACACCAAACCCCGTGACATGCAATTTACCTATATAACAAACCTGTACATGTACCCCTGAACCTAAAATAAGAGTTAAAAAAATTCATTGTTCTTTGTTAAAGATGCTATATTAGGCTAAGTTTCTTTTGCAGTAAAGGAAGAGTTTAATTGATGCAAAACTGGCCACACCACACGGAAGACAGAGTTATTACTCAAATCAATCTCCCCAAGAATTTGGGGGCTAGGGTTTTTCAGACAGTTTGGGGAAGGGGTGGGGGTGGCTAGGCAATGGGTGCTTGCTGCTGACTGGCTGAGGGTGCAATCTTGGGGTACGGGAAATTGTCCTCCTGTGCATTGAATGGCTTCTGGGTGGGACCACAGGAACAAGTCCAGGAGGAAGCCATGGTTGCAAAAAACTCCAAGTGCAGGGCAGCTTGATTCCAGGGTGTGGAAAAGGCATAAGGGAGGCTCCACTGAAGATTCAGTAGGAAAATTACATGGCCTCGCTGTGAGTGCCTGGCCCGTGGCTGGATGTCAGATGCTGCTCTTCTTCTCTTTCTTACTGGATCACTCAAGAGATGGCCAAGGAGGTATTCCTAATAGCTCAGAATTTGGAGAGGATGTGTTCTGGTATTTTTGGGCTTCAGCTAGCTGTGGTGAAGGATTGGGCACAACGTGGGACATAAGGCTCCCAACTGCTACCCTGCAGGAGCCAGGGCACTCCTGGGCAGCTCCTAGGATGGAAAGGCCACACTGGGGGGGGCTGTATTTTAGTCCGTTTTTGTATTGCTATAAATAAATACCTAAGGCTGGGTAATTTATAAAGAAAACAGGCTTAACTGGCTCACAGTTCTGCAGGGTGTACCAAGATGGCTCCAGCATCTGCCTCTCATGAGGCCTCAGGGAGCATCCAATCATGGCAGAAGGCAAAGGGGGTGCAGACGTGTCACATGGCAAGAGCAGGAGCAAGAGCAAACCTGAGTTGTAAGCCACCTATTTGACAGTTACTCCTTTCCTGAGTTTCTTCCATGTATATATGAAATATACATGTTAATAAACTTCTGTTTTTCTCTTATCTTTTGTTACAGGGTTCTCAGCCAAGAACTTAAAAGGGTATAGGAAAAATTATTTTTCTTCCCCTAACATGCTCAAATTGGTACCACCCCTATGAAGGGCAAACTGGCAACATCTACCAAATTGCAAATGTGTTTCCCCTTCGGCTCTGCAATCCCACATCTGGGAATCTATCCATATGAAATGCTGTATGAAAAAGATTAATTGCAGCACCGTTTGTATCAGCACCCAAATGCCCATCTACAAAACCTGGTTTAAAAAATTATGGTATACTCTACACTGGGAAGTTAAGGTAAAAAAATTATTTTTAAAAATGGTATATCCATATAATGAAATACTATAAAGCATTAAAAAAATCACAAAGAACATTGTGTGTCTTAACTGTGGTGGTGCCTTCAGGCATATAATTGCCAAAACTCATCAAATTATATACTTAAATTGGATGCAGTTTGTTGTGGATAGCCTTGAATAATGCTAACCAGGAAAAAAAGAATCATGGAGCTCTCATAGTGAAAAGGTATCCAAGATAAACTGTTAACTATGAAAAAGTATAGTGTTGAACAGTGTGTTTAGTGGGTTATCTTTTGTGGTAAGGAGGAAATAATTAGTTATATTTGTTTATATTTGCATTAAGAAATTCTAAGATAGGCTGGGCGTGGTGGCTCACGCCTGTAATCCTAGCACTTTGGGAGGCTGAGGTGGGTGGATCACCTGAGGTCAGGAGTTCGAAACCAGCCTGGCCAACATGGTAAAACTCCATCTCTACTAAAAATACAAAAAAATTAGCCAGGCGTGGTGGCGCATGCCTGTAATCCCAGCTACTTGGGAGGCTGGGGCAGGAGAATTGATTGACCTTGGGAGGTGGAGACTGCAATGACCTGAGATTGTGCCACTGCACTCCAGCCTGGGAAACAGAGAGAGACTCCATCTCAAAAAAAAAAAAAAAAAAGAAAGAAAGAAAGAAAAGAAAAAAAAAGAAATTCTAAGATAAATAAGAAATTAAGAAAATTAGGCATAGAATAGGGATAAATGGAGCAATTGAGAGCAGGGGTGGAAATGAGATTTTTTTCACTGTATATCTTCTTATATTGATTCTTGAACCATGACAAGTATTTTTAATACATAAAGCACTTGCACAAAATGGGAAAAATTTGCATACAGACTGTCCCAGAATATATTCTCTTCATTTTAAAGCATTCAAGGTACCTTCAACACTTTCAGAGCATGAAAGTTTTCCATAACTATCTTTTAGCATATGAAATCACTCAAACTAACTTGGAACCTCTAGAAAGAGTCCAGCAACCACGAAAAGAAAGCTTGCATGTTTCTTAAATTTTTATTTCTTTTTTTTTGGTTGGTTTGTTTTTTGCCCAGCACAGTGACGCAATCTTGGCTCACTACAACCTCCGTCTCCTGGGCTCAAGCCTTCCTCCCACCTCAGTCTCCCAAGTAGCTGGGTCTACAGGTAAACGCCACCAAACCCAGCTAATTTTTTTTTTTTTAAAGAGATGAGGATTAGCCATGTTGCCCAGGCTGGTTGGTCTCCAACTTCTGAGCTCAAGCGATCCACCCACCCCAGCCTCCCAAAATGCTGGGATTACAGGTGTGAGCCACTGAGCCCAGTCTCTTGTTAAATTTTTTCTTCCAGAGAAAATTTGCATATAATCATATATTAAGTTTTGTGGGGCTTTCACATATATTTATATATTTATTTAATTTGTTTATTTTATTTAATAATTTATTGACAAAGGCTCACTCTGTTGCCCAGGCTGGAATGCAGTGGCGAGAACACAGCTTGCTGCAGCCTCAACCTCCCAGGCTCAAGTGAGTCTCTCACCTCAGCTTCCCAAGTAGCTGTGACTACATGCGTACGTCACCATGCCTGGCTAATTTTTTTATGTTTTGCAGAGATGGGGGTCTCACTACGTTGCTCAGGTTGGTATCAAACTTCTGGGATCAAGTAAGCCACCACACCCAACCCCTCAATTTATTTATTGAGCACTCAATGCAACAACATTCATCACTGATTTCCAGGATTACCAATCTCATTTTACAAATGAACACACTGAAGCTAAGATGCTAAGTAACTTGCCCAATATAATATTTTTAAGAAGTGATACAGTGGGGTTCAAACCAACATCTTCTGGCTACAAAGCTCTTGTTTTTTCCAAATTTGATCAGCTTTATTAGCAGCACATATGTAATCTTACAATACCACGCTGTCCTTTACAAGCGATAAAACTAAACCTTAACCCATTGGTACCCAAATTTTAGCAGGCATCAGAATTACCTGGACAGCATGATAAAGCACAGATTTCTGGCCCCTGCACTCAGAATTTTCTAACCAGCAAGGTTGGGCCTGAGAATTTGCATTTTTAACAAGTTCCCGAATGATGCTGATGCTGTTTGTCCAGGAACCACACTTAACCAAGAATTCTCCTCTCCTTTTTCACTAGCCAACCTAGAAGAATTCAATTTCAGTTTTAGAAACACACAAACTTTTTATTTCCAAAAGCCTGAAACTCCAGAAAGAAAACAATCTGACTAACATACACTTCCAACCAAATTCACAATATATGTACTGTGAAATTGTCAGAATGGCACTGAGCTAAGAGAAGTGCCTAGTGTACACATTAACAGTCAGCACTTCTCTTGCTGCAGATGGGAGTCATTTCCTGGAAAAGTGGACACTAGAAGCGAAAAAGCAACGTTAGCCATCTGCTGCCAATAGACAACACATTTTTATGAAAGTTAAAAATATATATTATTAATTTCATGTTGCCTTGAAAATAGTTTCCCTGGCAAAACTAAAGCCAAAAATTATACCTCCAAATAAAAGAGCAAAAGTGAACAGAATACTTTTAATACTGCTGGGTTGTGATTTTGTTTTCTTATTATATTGTACTTATTCCTATTAAAAGTATGCCACTGAAACAAAAGCAATTAAATCAAATGCATTCACACACACACCAAAAAAAATCTGGTTAGTAACTAGTTGTCAAACTGAAACATACTAGCAAGTGCATTTACACAGAAAGAGACACTTAAGGAAGAAGCATTTAGAATGTCTTTTTATTTCAAAGTAAAAGTATAAAAAATTTTATTAATAAGAATAATAAAAGTATCAAACTCCTGAGACAGGAGGGAAAGAGGGGATTTAATTTTACTGTTGCAATCAGTTACTAACAGCTGTCCACTTTCTCTGATATTTTTTCATTTTCCATGCTTTTAGGCAGTATTTCTCAAATTTTAGTCACCATGAGAATCACCTGGAGGGTTTTTAATTCTTGGCCAAAGCCCAAGACTTTGGTGAAACCCTGTCTCTACTAAAAATACAAAAATTAGCTGGGCGTGGTGGCAGGTGCCTATAAACCCAGCTACTCTGGAGGCTGAGGCAGGAGAATTGTTTGAACCTAGCAGGTGGAGGCTGCAGTGAGTCAAGATCTCACTACTGCACTCCAGTCTGGGCGACAGAGTGAGACTTTGTTTCAAAAAAAAAAAAAAAAAAAAAAAGGGAAAAGATCGTGCTCAGTTTTACGACCCAATAGGAGGAGGAAATATGTAAACAGTTAATTTTAATACAACGTGATACACACTAATACACACAAAAACAGCTCCTCTATACATCTCTAAGTGCCAAAAACTCTTCACATAATGAAGACCCAAACAAATATTACTGACAAAAGCTTAAGCCACTTTCAGTCTAAGAACTTACCTGATAGAAAAATTTAAGGCTTAGTAAGAATGTAAAAACCAATAGATAGATATGCAGACAAACAGCAAAGTAAAAAGGGCATGAGTCTATACTTCCAGAGAATAGAGTAGGAAAAGGGAAAAAGTAACTTTACAGTGGTGAAATCTGGCAAACACTTATCTTAAATAAGTGAAGGTTAACATCAATAGTGATGTCACATGGATATCATGTACCCCCAATATAATGTGATGACAAAAGCATTACGCCTCCGTGTTATTCTTTGCAAAAACTCATTTGTCCAGTCTAGTCACGAGAATAGCATCAGACAAACCTAAGTTGGGAGACATTCTGTGGGATATCTAGCCAGTATTCTTCAAAAATGTCAAGGTCATAAAAAGCAAGGCAAGACTGACAAACTCATATACCAGAGAGACTGAAAACATGACAACTAAATGCAACGTGATACCCTAGATTGGATCCTGTGACAGAAAGGAAAAACTGGCGAAACCCAAATAAAGTCTGGAGTTAATAATGCACCAATGTTGGTTTTTTAGTTTTGACAGATGTACCATGGTAATGTAATATGGTAAAAAGGGAAAACAGCGAAGGGGAATGGAAAACTGTGCTCTCTGCAACTTTTCTATAAATCTAAAATCACTCCAAAATTTAAAGTTCATTAGGAAAAAAAAAAAAAAGAGCATGACTCTAGAAGGCTCAGGTTAGCCTGGGTTGTAAGCCAGGAACTGCTGTGCTTAAAGAAGCTAAATTACAGGATCTTGTCAAACTCTAAATCTACAAAAATCATGAGCATAGGCTCATTCACCAAATACTAGATTCCTAGATTTACGGGCCTTTTCTTTAAAATAAAAAGCAGTAGTTTCAGCCCTAATAAAACAAAGAACTATTTCACAGAATAGGACTATACACTTGCAGAACTTACCCCACAAAGAGAATAAACTTTAACATAATTATCAGTCACTTCCCTTGGTTCACTGGCAGTAGCATAATTTTAGATACATTTCTAGTTTTCAAATCATAACAGAAAAATTTGGCCCTTTGGGCACGGTGACTCACACCTGTAATCCCAGCACTTTGGGAGGCTAAGGCAGGTGGATTACCTGAGATCAGGAGTTTGAGACCAGCCTGGCCAACACGGCGAAACCCCATCTCTACAAAAAATACAAAAATTAGCCAGGCGTGGTGGCGGGCACCTGTAATCCCAGCTACTCAGGAGGCTGAGGCACAAGAACAGATTGAACCTGGGAGGTGGAGGTTGCGGTGAGCCGAAATCACACTACCATACTCCAGCCTGGGTGACAGACTCTCAAAAAAAAAAGAAAAGAAAGAAAAAGAAAAATTTGCTCCTTTTACAAAATGTCGCCTTAATGCTCCATCAGAGACTTTCTACAAAGCCAAATGGGCCAGAAGTTAAACTCGGAAATATATTTCCAATATCCTTACAATCTAGTCAGATAATTCATCCATGAGTAAACAGAATACTGATACACAATCACAGATATTTTAAAAATCCAGATTTGAGGGGGTAGATATGATTTTTTAAATCTATTTTTGTGTATGTACATACATATATACATTATACATTCCACGTACACAAAACTCTCTGAAGTCATTTTAGTTGTGGCCAGAATACCCATGGTCATGCCAAGGCCTAACTTTTACAAATTTACTTTTAAAAAAAAAAAACCAAAAAACTAAAAGATATTCTAGATTCTGGATTTTTAATTAAACTACTGGGCTTCTGAGAATATGAACAAGCATTTACATTTGAAAAGAAACAAGGGCCATTCATCAAAGGTTCACATGGCAACAGAAGTTATACAGGTTAGAATCTTTAACTTCATTTATTCTAACTAAAAAGATAAACCAACCAAAAATCTCATTTATGCTATAAAATAAAAGAAACGGGTTAAGAATTTTAAAAGTAAGTCTAAACATAAAGACTCAAGTTCAAGCAAGTTTTGGTTAATTACTAAGTTACTCTTTTAAAAAATCTATACTGAAATTCAACACCCCAAGTTAGAGTCCTCTCTTTAACTTCATTTTCATTTTTTCCCATTCAAAAAAATAAACACAAAGCAGACACGGGGTCTTTAAAACAAACAAACAAAAAGCATTTAACCCAAGGGGAAATGGGCAAGAATTTTAAAGGTAAGTCTTGAACAAAAAGATTCCTATGTTCAAGTCAGTTTTGATTATCTAGTAAAATAAGACCTAAACTTGTATTATACTTCAACAAACCAAAATCCTGGCAGAGTATAAACTGCCATAGGCCAAAAGGACTGATCATATAAATAAGAACATTATATTTTATTATTTAGGAGGATAATTTAAAATGTTCAGATCTTAGCTACGTCACTACTGCAAAAGTATTTTTTAAATTACTTCAATTTTCAAGGAAGAATGATATCAGCTCTCAAAATTCAGTTTTGTAAAATATTGATGCTTGTAAATAAAAACAAATCAATGACTTGCAGCTGTAGTTACACAGGCTATCTTGCAGTAATTATAATTTTTAAAAAGAGTACAGATTATGTTGCTCTATTTATTAAAGTAAAAGGATAAAGAAAGATTTATCAGACAAATTCTAACCAAAAGAATACTAGTTATTAATATTGAACAAAACTGGAAGAAAAATACCAAAACCAAAAGAAATAAATTAACTGAGCAAAATCTAGAATTTGAGTCACAAAAAATGTTCTAAGGTCTTCTGGAATTAGAACATGAGGGGGGGCCAGGCACAGTGGCTCAAGCCTGTAATCCCAGCACTTTTGGAGGCCGAGGCGGGCAGATCACGAGGTCAGGAGATCAAGACCATCCTGGCAAACACAGTGAAACCCCGTCTCTACTAAAAATACAAAAAAAATTAGCCAGGCGTGGTGGCGGGCGCCTGTAGTCCCAGCTACTCAGGAGGCTGAGGCAGGAGAATGGCGTGAACCCAGGAGGCGGAGCTTGCAGTGAGCTGAGATCGCGCCACTGCACTCCAGCCTGGGCAACAAAGTGAGACTCCATCTCAAAAAAAATAAAAATTAAAACTAAAAAAAAGAACATGATGGGGAAGAAAATAAATAAAAATAATCTAAAGGACTCATTTTGCTAGAGTAATGGTTGAAAATCTTGTTTTCAACATAGGAGAAATAAGTACTAGTACAGGAAAAGGGGCACAAGGTGCGAATCCCCTACCCAAAATGCTTGGGACCAGAAGTGTTTTGGATTTTTTCGGATTTTGGAATATTATCTTTTTTTTTTTTTTTTTTTTTTTTTCCAGATTCTGGAATATTATCCTATCTTGGGGATGGGACCCAAGTCTAAACATGAAATTCATTTATGTTTCATATAAACTTTATACACATAATCTAAGATAATTTTATACAATCTTTTTAATAATTTTGTGCATGAAACAAAAGTTTTGACTGTAACTTATCACATGAGACCAGGAGTGGAATTTTCCACTTTGTGGGTCATGTCAGTACTCAAAAGTTTCAGATTTTGAAGCATTTCAAGTTTTGGATTTTCAGATTAGGGATGCTCAACCTGTATTAACTATATTAATGAAACAAGACATTATAACAAAATTTCCACATTAACTGGGAGGCGGGGTAAGGGAATGAATCACAAGTTGATAATAAGCAACAGTAAGAAACAGAGAAAATAAAAATGTAAAATAAATCGGTAAAGAAGGGAAAATCAAATCAATATAAGTGCTATTATCTTAAAAACTATCCAATTAGGTAAAGCATTAAAATACAGAAATCTGCCATTTTCAAGAGACATACACAACAAACATAAGAAATATCAGGTAATTCAAAAAAAGAGGGAACAGGAGAAGCAGTATTAAAATCACACAAGCTAGAGTTTAAAACTAGGAAAAAATTCTGAAGAATATGGATACAGGGAGAAAGCAAATGTGACAAAATGGTTAACAAGTAAATCTAGGAGAAGATAAAGGGGTGTCTACTATTTAAAACAAAATTCAAGGTAGTAATTTCCTACAAATGTATTTATTATTCAAAAATTATTTTTAATAAAGCTTTTTATTAAAAAAAAAAAAGGCCAGTTACCTGGGAATAGGCTCCAGGCATATAAGATAAATTGTGTTTATTCATTTACCTTAGCATGCACTACTGTTTATCAAATGATGACACTACTATTCCCCATCTACTCTAACTATATTTTTGTCTTGGGCCTGAAGAGGTGGCTCATGCCTGTAATCCCGGCACTTTGGGAGGCCGAGGCGAGTGGATCACCTATTATCAGGAGCTCGAGACCAGTCTGGCAAACACGGCGAAACGCTGTCTCTACTAAAAATATAAAAATTAGCCGGGGGTGGTGGTGCATGCCTGTAATCCCAGCTCCTCAGGAGGCTGAGGTGGAAGAATAACTTGAATCCAGGAGGCCGAGGCTGCAGTGAGCTGAGATCCCGCCACTGCACTCCAGCCTGAGTGACAGAGTGAGACTCCGTCTAAAAAAAAAAAAAATTTGTCTTTATGAGAAAAAAAATCCCTCATTACATCGTACCATGCAAAGATTTTGCACCAATATTCTTACCACAAAAACCATTTATGAGAAGTTTATGTGTAGGGTTTGACGATGTTTCAAAGTATATCATCACCGAAATCTCTTCAGCACGGCCCCATTCCCAAAAGCATCCCACAAACAATGGCTCAACCCCTGAAATGCGACTGAGATAACTTTTGTCACCACCGCGAGGGAGTATCCTTTACCATTTCCCAACTATTATTCAAATTAAAATTAAAAAGATTAGGTACCTGTGAACAAGAATTCAAGTCACTTTAAGTTTCTCTTTCTGCATTTTTAAAATGTGGTAATATGTATTCTGCCTATTTCATCTGGCTCTTGTGGAAAATGAGGAAAATCTAAGGAAGGGCCAAAAACAAAAGAAAAATAAGGACAAAGAGAAACTAAATAATCAATACATTTGAGGCTGGGTGCAGTGGCTCACGCCTGTAATCCCAGCACTTTGGGAGGCTGAGGCGGGAGGATCACCTGAGGTCAGGAGTTCAAGAGCAGCCTGGCCAACATGGTGAAACCCTGTCTCTACTAAAAATACAAAAGTTAGCCAGATGTGGTGGTGCACTTCTGTAATCCCAGCTACTTGTGAGGCTGAGGCGGGAGAATCGTCGAACTTGGGAGGCGGTGGTTGCAGTGAGCCAAGATTGCGCCACTGCACTCCATACTGGGCAACAGAGCAAGACTCTGTCTCAAAAATAAAAATAATAAAATAAAATAAAATAAATTTGATATAATGAATTTATAAAACTCTAATATCCTCCAAACAGAAATACTGCCATATCCATGGAATATATGTAAAAGCAGGTCATAAACTTGGCAACAAAGAAAGCCTTAACTAATTTTTTTAATTAGACATTTTATAGACTATATTTTTCTAGTTATAATCCAATCAGGTTGAAAGTATACATCAAAGTAACAAAAACCAACCAAACTTAACCACTTTAAAATTAGGAAACATATTCCTAACCAGATAATAAAACTAAAAATTATCTAAAAAGCTGTATAAAGGAGAAAACTTTGTACCAATATCTATGGAATCCCACTAAACCTGTATTCAAGGGTGAATATATCCTTTAAATGATTTCAATATTAAAGATAAAGAGAACTGAAGAAACATAATACTCATCTCCGAGAAATTTAAAATAAAAAGAATAAGAAAATGTAACAGGGAATTAAATGTTAAACATCATTAAATTAAAAGTCAAAATATAATAGAAAGGATAAGTAAATTCAAAAGATGGTTCTTCTAACAGATCAATAAACTAGACAAAATCAGATTAAGTAAAAATACAAGTGGGAGTACTCCCAAGACTTGGAGTGAGTAAAGAGAACAACCACGAAAGAGAGTATCACAAATTTGTAGCAACAAGTTTGAAAGTAAAAGAAATTAGTAATTCCTTACCAAAATAAAAAGAGAAAATCTGAGAGTAAAAGGGAAATTAGAAATTTACCACTGATGAATTCACAGCAAAGTTTTATCAAACCTTTAAGGAAGAGGTGAATACAACCATATTTGGAATTAACTATTCAATTACTAAGATGACATGTCTTCAGATAAAATGTCAAAACTTTTCTGCCTTCATAAATGAAGTGAAACTCAAGTGTTATTCATGTTTCCTTTAAATGAAATAAAAGGAAATGTGAAATTTGGGAGATACATTTGAAGCAAAATTATTCCATATTAGAAGCAGGTACTAAGATACCTGGTCAGGTTGTGATACAAAAGATACTATCTTTACAGTAATTATACAAAGTATACGTTCCTATGTACCTTAAAGCCAAATAAAATGAAGATGGCAGAACACACATTTTCTGTTATCCATTTGTTTAGAAAATAAATATAAATTCTATATAAGAATGTTCAACCAGCCGGGCACAGTGGTTCATGCCTGTAATCCCAGCACTTTGGGAGGCTGAGGTGGGCAGATCACTTGAGGTCAGGAGTTCAAGACCAGCCTAGCCAACACGGCAAAACCCCATCTCTTCAAAAGATACCAAAATTAGCTGGGCGTGGTGGCATGTGCCTGCAATCCCAGATACTTGGGAGGCTGAGGCACGAGAATTACTTGAACCTGGGAGGTAGAGGTTGTGGTGAGCCAAGATTGTGCCACTGCACTCCAGCCTGGGTGACAGAGTGAGACTCTGTCTCAAAAAGAAAAAAAAAAAAAGTTCACCCAATAATCTGATGAGAATATAGTTTTCCTCTAAGGATGAACTAAAAGAGGAAATTTGCACATGAGAAAATCATTAAGATAATGAAGATGTTAAGAACATTAGATTACTTACAACTGCAAACTCATCTCTGTCAAGCATTCCATCATGGTCAATATCACTCAACTCCCAAACCTTAAAAAGAGAATAATTGAAAAAAGATTAATGTTCTTTCAGTTCATGTTCTACTCGAGGGCAAGAAAAGAAAGTTTATGAGCTAGGAATGGTGGCTCATGCCCATATGGCCTCCCAGCACTTTGAGAGGCCAAGGCAGGAGGATCACTTCAGCCCAGGAGTTTGAGACAGCCTAGGAAACATAACGAGATCCCATCTCTACAAAAGATAAAAATAAAAAATTAGCTGGGCATGGTGGCATCCACCTGTAGGCCAAGCTACTCAGGAGGCTGAGGTAGGAGGATCCCTTAAGCCTAGGAGATCAAGGCTGCAGTGCACTATGATATGCCACTGCACTCCAGCCTGGGCAACGGAGCTAGACACTGTTTCTTAAAAAAAAAAAAAAAAAAAAAAAAAAGTGTACTGTTGAGAGTTAAAAATGGAGATAAGCAAGTGTCTGGTTATAATTGCCTTGAAAGGAGTTTGGGCTTTATTCTAAGTGCAATGGAAAGCTACTAAAAAGTTAGGTTTAAGTAATAAAATAACAACAGTGTATTTATAGTTTAGAAATTTCACACTGATCACACAGGGGAGAAATAATTAGTGGGAAACAATACTAAAAAATGGCATTTAAATAAATATTTATTGAGCATCTAAAATCTATATAACATTGATCCAGTAGTAGTAATAATATGGTGGTATGGTGGTTGTCATCATCATAGCAGCTAGCATTCAAAGAGTATGTAGCAATCATGGTAATAAGCAGGACTTAACATTCATTATCACATTCAATCACTACAATTCTATAAGCTGGGAATTATGTCCCTTTTAAAGATTAGAAAACTGAGACATGGCTTTCTAATGACTTGCCCAAGGTCACACAGCTAAGAAGTGGTGCAGCCAGGATTTGACCCTATGTAATCTGCTGAAGCAGGTAATTAAAGAAAGGGCAGCCGGGTGCTGGTGGCTCACGCTGTAATCTCAACACTTTGGGAGGCTGAAGCAGGTGGATCACCTGAGGTCAGGAGTTCAAGACCAGCCTGAACAACATGGAGAAACCCCATCTCTACTAAAAATATAAAAATCAGCTGGGCGTGGTGGCACACGCCTGTAATCCCAGCCACTCAGGAGACTGAGGCAGGAGAATTGCTTGAACCCGGGAGGCAGAGGTTGTGGTGAGCCAAGATTGCGCCATTGCACTCCAGCCTGGGTAACAAATGCTAAAATCCATCTCAAAAAAAGAAAAAAAAAAAAAGAAAGGGCAAGAGGTTTAAAGAGAGTAGTTAAGATTTGAAATATGAAGAGGATTATGGAGAAATCACTATGGAAACAGCACAAGAGTGACTGGCAGTACGGAGAAGCCCAGCTGAAGCTGGTGATGATAAATTTAAAGTGACAGCAATCTTACTACACCTGCTCAGTAGTCCACATGCACCACAGAGAAGGCAGATAATTTACTTCATGTTTTTTCCATCAGGCAGGAGAGATAGAAAAATAACATGGCAAAGGGGGCTAAGGATAGATATGAAGCTGTAGACCAAAAGACAGGGAATAAAGTTTTACTTTTACAGGAGGAAAAGAATTCATGGCGATGGATATTGGGGATAGTTGCATAATAATGTAAATGTAGTTAATACCACTGAATTGTACACTTAAAATTGGTTAAGATGTTAAATTTCATGATATGCATATTTATCACAGTAAAAAAATTGAAAAAAAGAGGAAAAGTAAAAAAGTCAGATTTTTTTTTTTTTTTTTTTTTTTTTCTAAGACAGTCTTGCTTGTCGCCCAGGCTGGAGTGTAGTGGTGCGATCTCGGCTCACTGCAACCACTGCCTCCTGGGTTCACGCGATTCTTCTGCCTCAGCCTCCTGAGTAGCTGGGACCACAGACTGCGCACCACCACGCCCGGCTAATTTTTGTATTTTTAGTAGAGATGGGGTTTCACCATATTGGCCAGGCTGGTCTCGAACTCCTGACCTCGTGATCCACCCGCCTCAGCCTCCGAAAGTGCTGGGATTATAGGTGTGAGCCACCATGCCCAGCCAAGAAGTCAGATTTAAAGGTCTTAGTAAAACCAGTCAAAGAATTAGTCTTGCTAGTTTCTGGAAAAGAGCTCTATAAAGACAGGAAGTACAAGTTAGAGAGAAGAATTTATGATTTCAGAGATAAAACTATTCCTTACAACAAGACACCATGATACAGCCACAGAGTAAGTGGCAGACATAAAATACTGATGGTCTCTAGAAATTAACTCAAGCAAATAGGAGGTCAAGAGTGTACAGCACAAACTAAAAAAGGACCTACTTAAGGGGCTTACATATGTAATTCATTTCAACCACTCATTTTTACAGGGAATAACCAAATACAGAAATATGCTGGCAATAATTTTATACATTAAGTCAGAAAACAAAAAATCCTATAATGATACAACTTTAAAATAAGATTTGTATATTTTTAACAAAGAGTTATACATGCTCCTGGCATAATAGATATAAAATTAAAATACATAAAAATTACATTTCGGAGTAAATAATATCTTACTCTTCCAAGGATATCCACAGGTAACTTAGAGTTGAGCAACACTGGTTTCACTTTATCACCAGACAGAAATCCATTCACTGGGCTTAAACTATCAAATATTGCATCATATTTGGCCTTATCTTCAGGCTACAATAAAAAACAAAATCACAAGTTAAATAATAAGAGAAAAGGATTTAACTGCAGTTATAAAAATCAAGTCCTTAAAGAATAGACTACATATGTTTTTAAACTATCATTTAAAAAACATTTTTCACTTTCATCAAAATATAATATTCATTGTAAAGATACGCAAGAAAAAAATACATAGGAAATAATAATTTCAAAGTGACTTTACCCAAGAGTCTGGTGTTGCCCATTCTTTTTGTAGCTGGAACACCATCTTTATTTTCCAACTATTGGGTTAGAATCAAAATATTTCAGAGGTAGAAGGGCTTTGAAGAACATCTAGTCCAACCCTCTCACTTAAATAGACCCAGAGCAAAAAAGTAACTTTTATAAGAACACACAGCTAATTAGTGACATTCCATGACTCTCTAAAGATGGTATGAGGTGCAGTTCAAATAAATAAAATTTTTTTTTTTTTTTGAGACGGAGTCTTGCACTGTCGCCCAGGCTGGAGTGCAGTGGCACAATCTCAGCTCACTGTAGCCTCCACCTCCCGGGTTCAAGCGATTCTCCTGCCTCAGCCTCCCGAGTAGCTGGGATTATAGGCGCCTGCCACCACACCCAGCTAATTTTCTTGTACTTTTAGTAGACACGGGGTTTCACTATGTTGGCCAGGCTGGTCTCGAACTCCTGACCTCATGATCTGCCCGCCTCACCCTCCCAAAGTGCTGGGATTACAGGCATGAGCCACAAATAAATTTTTAAAAATAAAATAATTACTAAAGGAATAAACATCAAGATTTCTCCATTTTTCCCAAAGCAATATTTCTTTTTCTTGTCAATAACAAGATATCTCCTAAATTTTTAAAAGTTATTAGTGTAACATGAAAAACTATTGTTCATTATTTGCCCAGTCAAGGCCATATTCCCACACTTTTAAAACTTAGTGCCCAGTCCACAGCATACAAAGACATACAAATAAAAATGGTTTTCAAAAAAACTGTACACATTTATCAAAGCTCATTTGATCTGCTATAGTCTAAGCATTTTTAAATTACAAGTTTTATAGTACGATATGATGTGGCTCTGAAAAACTATAATGCAAAATACCTATTTCTAAAAAGATTTCATAAAGAATTGTTTGTTTTAGAGTCATCTAGAAAATACATAGTTAACCAGAATTTTCAAGTAAGAGATAACACCAGTGGGGTAAACTATCTTTTAATCAAATATTTTAGTTAATACAAGATTATGACATCACCATTTTTCTTTACATTATAACAGATATACAAGTAGACCGATACTGTCACAAAACAACTGACAGAGCCGAAAGATCCCTCAGAAACACCAGTAACAGCTTCTCCCCTACCTTTCCCTAAACATGTATGAAAGTCTAATGAAGATAGCAATATATTTCAGAGGTAGAGAGAGAGTAGATAGGAAGCAATGAAGGGGTGAGAGAATAGTTACAAAGTTTACTTACTTTTACAGCCCATGGGAGCTCAGCTGCAGAGGTTCCACTGATTAGCAAAGGACTACTGGTATCATGCTATAGAAGAAAGTAAAGCACAACAAGAGTTGAAATTCTCACATCAAGAAGCAATGAAGAAAAAATGGTTTTTGGATTTAAATATGTTCACACAAAATGCTGGATCTCAATGCACACAGGACACTATTTTACATTTACTAGACCATCTAAATAACAATGAAACAAAGTGATTATAATACCATATTTTTACTGTACCTTTTCTGGTTTTTGTTTTATTTTGTTTTTGAGATGGAGTCTTGCTCTGTCGCCCAGGCTGGAGTGCAGTGGCATGATTTCGGCTCACTGCAACCTCCATCTCCTGGGTTCAAGCGATTCTCCTGCCTCAGCCTCCGAGTAGCTGGGATTACAGGAATGCACCACCACACCCAGCTAATTTTTGTATTTTTAGTTGAGATGGGATTTCACCATGTTAAGCAATGCATGACTGTAATGCACGTAGGCAACAAATCCCTAAATTAACCTTCTGACTACATGCCTAAACATAAAAGTGCAGAAATTCTCTAAACTTAAGAAATTAAATTATTAGTATGCAGACCAAAAACTTCTAAAATGTTGAGTTTAAAAACAAGCAACTAGTTACTGGGGAGGATCACTTGAGCCCAGTTCAAGGTGACAGTGAGCTATGATCGCAGCACTGTATTCCAACCTGGGAAACAGAATGAGGCCATCTCTTAAAATTTAAAAAAACAAAAAACAAGAGGAGCCATAAAATATCTGGGGAAAAAAAGGAGTGAGGTGGGGAGGACTAGCATACTAGATTTAAAAAACATGTCACCAAATATGATAATTAAAACAATGTAACATCAGCATATGGTATGGATAAATAGATCAATAGGTAAGAACAAAAAAAATCGAGTAAGCAATCAAAATACATATGAGAATTTAGCACACAACTGAGATGGCATTTCAAAGGGAATGAAGAGACAGGAAGTGAAGGATGGATTATTTAATAAACTGTATTGACTATACTTTCTGTAGGGTAGCCATCTTGAAAAAATATAAAGTTGAATCTAGGCTAGGTGTGGTGGCTCACGTCTGTAATCCCAGAACTTTGGGAGGTCAAGGTGGGCAGATCACCTGAGGTCAGGAGTTCGAGACCAGCCTGGCCAACATGGTGAAAAACCATCTCTACCACCAAAAAAAAAATTTAGCCGGGTGTGGTGGTGGGTGCCTGTAATCCCAGCTACTCAGGAGGCTAAGGCAGGAGAATCACTTGAACCTAGGGGGTGGAGGTTGCAGAGAGCTGAGATTGCACCACTACACTCCAGCCTGGTTGACAAGAGCGAAACTCCCTCTCAAAAAAAAATAAATAAATAAATAAAAATAAAATCTGTACTCACATCCTAGATCAATACTAACTTAAATGTAAAAAATTAAAAAAAATTTAACCTGACAATTTATTTACACAAAAGACAATAATAAGCCAGGCTCAGTAGTACATGCCAATTGTCCCAGCTATTTGGGAGGCTAAGGCAGAAGTATCACTTGTGCCCAGGAATTCAAGGCTAGCCTTGGCAACATAGCAAGATTCTGTCTCTTCAAAAAAAATAAGACAAATGACAAAATAGGAAAAAAAGACTTGCAACTCATACAGACAAAGAGTTAATGTCCTAATAATTAAAGAGGCCCTAGAATTCAATAAGTAAAAGAGCAACAACCAAGAAAAATGGGCAAAAGCTATAAACAGACATTCACATAAAGGCAATGTAAACATAAGAAAAGCTTATAAGAAAGCTATTCTTATTAGCACAAGAAAAGCTATTCAACCTCACTCCATAAAACCAAAAGGATAAATTTAAAATTACATACTGTCACCTATCAAACCGCAAAGATCTAAAAGTTTAACCAAAGTATGCTAGCCAAAGTGTACAGAAACAGGCACTCAAACAATTGCTGGAGGGAGGGTGAACTAGTACAACCACTATGGAAAGCAAGTTGACAAAATACATAGAAATTACAAAGGCAAAAACTTTTGAACAGCATTTCTACTTTTGGAAATTAACACATATAAATACATTCCTGCACATGCAAAATAACATATGTCCAAGTTTATTATTCATTGCAGCATTTTTTTAATAATGAAAGATTCAAAATAAACTAAAAGCCTATCAATAGAAAGTTAATTATCATAAACATAAGCAAAGAAATACTACACAGCTATAAAAAACAAAGTGGAAGCTTCTATGTAATGATATATAAATACCTCTAAAACTTAATAAGCTACTTATAAAAGGTATAGAATTATGTGCATAGCAGGAGTCCCCAATCCCTGGGCCACAAACTGGTACCCATCCATGGCCTGTTAGGAACTGAGCTGTATAGCAGGAGGTGAGCAGCTGGCAGGCAAGCATTATGGCCTGAGCTCCAACTTTTGCCAGATCAGCGGTGGCATTAGATTCTCATGGGAGCACGAACCCTATCATGAACTGCGCATGTGAGGGATCTAGGTTGCATGCTACTTATAAGAATCTAATGCCTGATGATGTGGAACAGTTTCGTTCTGAAACCATCCATCCCTCCCAGGTCCATGGAAAAATTGTCTTCCATGAAACCGGTCCCTGGTGCCAAAAAGGTTGGGGACCGTTAATATATAGCATGCTACAATTAAAGTAAAATAAGAAAATAAGTATTTATATATATATATTTTTTTAAGACAGGGTCTTAAACCATCAACCAAGCTGGAGAGCAACGGTGTGATCACGGCTCATTGCAGCCTTGAGCTCCCAGGCTCAAATGATCCTCCCATCTCAGCCTCCCAAGTAGCTGGGACCAGACGTGCACACCAACACACTCGGCTAAATTTTAGATTTTTTTGTAGAGATGGGGGTCTCGCTTTGTTTCCCAGCCAGTCTTGAACTCCTGGGTTCAAATGATCCTCCCACTTCTGCCTCCCAAAGTGTTGGGATTACAGGCGTGAGCAACCTCACCCAGCCTATAGTTTCTCACATATACATATATAATCACTCTGGAAGGATACACAAGAAATTAACTAAAAACAGCAGGAGCCAGTAGGGGGAAAAAAGCCAAGTAGCTGAGTGAAAGGGCCAAAGGGAGAATTCCTTTTAATATATTACTTTTAATTTTCAAATAACGTGGTGTCACTTTTTAAAAATTAAATACAATTTAAATCTAAAAGCATTTCTTACAAATCTTGGTGGAGGAACAGCCAGGTTCAAACTACTTAGTGAAACTTCCAATCCATTCTGGGCACATGCCACAAGACGCAAAGCAACAAAGAATTCCTAAGAAAGAAAAGTATGAATGTTAAGAGCATTCTCCCTCTACCAACTTACCTACCTGCACAAATACTTACAATCTAAAAATATAAAACAATTCATAATTACTACAGAGGTCTTATGTAGCAACAAGTAGCATATTTGCTTCAAAAATATCTTGCAGAAAAATCCTATGTAGAAAGATGTTCCTAGTATTTATGAATCGCTAATAATAACATAAATGGGAAAATACATACAGATAGTGGAAATCATACAGAATACTCATGTTTAAAATAATACTTAGGGCCAGGCACAGTGGCTCACACCTGTAAGCTCAACATTTTGGGAGGCCGAGACGGGCAGATCACTTGAGGTCAGGAGTATGAGACCAACCTGGCCAACACGGAGAAACCCCGTCTCTCTACTAAAAACACAAAAATTAGCCAGGTGTGGTGGCGTGCACCTGTAGTCCCAACTACTCAGGAGGCTGAGGCAGCAGAATCACTTGAACATGGAAGGCAGAGGTTGCAGTGAGCCGAGATCGGGCTACTGCGCTCTAGCCTGGGTGACAGAGCGAGACTGTCTCAAAAAAACAGACAAACCAAAAAAAAACAAATAATATTTAATGATATTAAGAGATGTATTTTATCATTTAAATGAGAAAAAAAGAATTAGAGAAAAATCCCAAAAGAAAATAATACCTAAAATGTTATGAAAAGTCATCTCTGGATTGTGAGATTATAAATTTTGAAACTGGAACAGTAATTCAAATGACTTAATGACTGCAATTCCAGAAAAACTACAGAAAATAACTGTGCAACATCAAAAAAAATTATGTAACGGTTTAACTTCAAAATAATTATAAATCTCTCCCAAAAGTCCTTGGATTTTTAGCAGTTGAAGTCTTAGTCCAAAACTTAATAAATAAATGCAAAGAAGCTGAAGCAACTGGTTTTCAGCTGTTTTGAGTTAGTGTCATAGACATGATAACAAAAGCCTTTACTCCAGCTACAATTTGTCCAACCTGTCAATACCCTAGTATAGTCGCTGATGTAATCAACCCTTCACTACTTCTCTGAAATCCCGTACTCTCCCCCATACCCTTCATACCCAATTCATAACCCATTCTTATCACCTTGCAGACTGTCTGCTTTATACAATCCCTTGCCTTCACTCATTTCTTGAAAAAATGCTATTTCAAGATATCCCATTTTCTTCTCATTCATTCCACAACCTTCTGTGCAATGTGACTTCAACTCCCATGATTAGCTAGAAAAACTACCGCCTATGTCACAGATAATCTCCTAGCTACCAAATAGAATAGCCTTAAAAAAAAAAAAGCCTCATACTGCTTATTCTTTTTGCAGCCTGGGAAAGTATCTTCCTGGAAGCTCTCCTCCACCAAACAGCTTCACAAAACCCTCCTAGTTCTCTTCTGACCTTTTAGGTCTCTTCTGTTGGAGTCAATGTCTTCCCTAACTGCTAGTATTCTAAGTATTCTAACATGACCCTCTTTCTTTTCTCACTCTATTTGAGATTCAATTACTCTTAGGTAATCAAGTCTATTACCACAGTATGGATGGGCTATGAAGTGAAATAATTCTGCATTAAATTCTATTTCTGCTACTTATAGTTGTGAGGCCAAGGGCAAGTTAAAACCCTTCCATAATAGGGGGGCTAATACCTACCTTGCAATGTATTATGAGCAACAAAATAAAAACCATGCTGCAGGAGGAAAGTGCCTACTGTCATTTTTGTCACATGGAAATTCATTAAGTATTGGTTTCTTTTCTTTCATTCATATGCTAACTTAAAAATCTGGGCCAGGCACGGTGGCTCACGCCTGTAATCCCAGCACTTTGGGAGGCCGAGGTGGGTGGATCACTCGAGGTCAGGAGTTCAAGACCAGCCTGGCCAATATAGTGAAACCCCATCTCTACTAAAAATACAAAAAAACTAGCCAGGTGCGGAGGCATATGCCTGTAATCCCAGCTACTCCAGAGGCTGAGATGGGAGAATTGCTTGAATCCCGGAGGCAGAGGTTGCAGTGAGCCAAGATCACGCCACTGTACTCCAGCCTGGGTAACAGATCAGGGCTCTGTCTCAAAAAAAAAAAAAAAAAAAAAAAATCTATGCTTCCAAAGGAACTTCAAAGTTTAACTGCAGACTCATAAATCCAGCCACCTGGAAGTACTAAGGCAACTCAAACTCAATATCCAAAATCAAACAATTATAAGTAAAAAATTTATTATACTGTAAAACCTTAAGACAGTGACCACATCTATCATGTTAACCTCTGTATTTCTAAAGCCTGGCTCATCATAGGTACTCAACAAATATTTGCTGACTGACTACATGGCACCTAGGTGGGCCCCTATGAATTTTGTTTTCCTATACCTCCAATACACCAAAGTAGCCCTTCTACCCAGAGACATGAACAGGGACTACAATCTAGCCCCGAAATCTTAATTAAAAGACTGGATATTCTGACCCTCTCATCAAATTTCTCCAATATCTGGCTTTGATCCTGCTTCAGCTATGCCGGGGGTGGGGAGGAAGCCTAACTTTGAGTAGTGGCACTCAGCAAACTTGGAATTCAATCCTTATACAACTCTGAAATCCATCCCCAACAATCAGAACTTCAGAGTACACTGATGGTGTTCAACACCCTTGGCCATAACCACTTTTATGTATTCTGGTCAAGAATTTACTTCTGGTTTATAAATCATTTTTTGGTTTATATATCAGGAGTAAGATCTAGACCAGAATACTCACATCTCACATGTGATTAACCAAGAGTTTCCTTTCAAATCTTCAAATCTACTAGACAATACCATCTTAACACTTACTTAATAACATTCACTTTTACTTATAACCCTATGTAACTAGGAAAATTAATTAAAGAGCAAAGTCTCTCTGAAAGACAGAAAAATAAACTCCAGGAGAACAATGTCACCAAACTCACACTAACTGTTAAGACTTATATTAACATCTAGTGATTGGAAATACTTTGTTACACACTTGCCCTAGGCAAAACTCTAATGTTGGTAAAAACCAATTCTTGGCTTCAAAATACAAGAAAACCCTGCTGGCTATTTTTTATTTTGAATCACTCAAAAAAAAAATCATATGAATATCTGAAACTTACTTGTTTGTTCAGGATACCTTTGCCATCTGTGTCGGCTAAATCCCAAATCTGAAATTTAGGGGGAAAAAATATCAATGTATATTTTAAACAAAAGTCATCTGAATGATAAATTAAATCTCTGCTATTTACAACCTCAGGCTCTCTGGTAATCAGATCTAAGAATCATAGAATTAAGAGTGGAAAGAACCCTTAAAGATCATTTAGTGCAAACTTGTCCAACTTGCAGCCCACAGGCCACATGCAGCCCAGGACAGCTTTGCACGTGGCCCAACACAAATCCATAAACTTTCTTTAAGAAATTATGAGGGTTCTTTTATGATTTTTTTTTTTTTTGATCATCAGCTATCATTAGTGTTAATGTATTTTATGTGTGGCCCAAGACAATTCTTCTTCTTTCAATGTGGCCCACGGAAGCCAAAAGATTGGGCACCCCTGATTTAGTGCAACCCTTCACAAAGATACTAAGGCCCAATGAGGGTAAGTGACTTAGCTCAAGAACATTCAAGGCACCAGGGAAAGAAGTGAAGCCTAAGTTCTAACTTCCAGTCACATGCCTTTTTCATTAATCCAAGTTCTAACTCTGAGACCAATGCTCTTTCTACTAGAATGTACATACTATTCTTGATTTTGGATCCTTAAGATATTCTTTTCTATGTGCAAGTTGAGATGATTGATATTTGTGAATAATTAAATTATTGTGATTATTTTTCAGGATTCTGAATATATATCAATATCACATATAAGGAGTAGACAGGGGAGGGGCTTTCCACCTCTTTGTGCTCTTTTTAAAAAGCCTCTCATCCCCCAGTCTATTTACCACACATTAAACAGAGACAGTTATAACAGAGGAAGTAGGGATAGAGCCAAGTCTTTGAGTGTGTGGCAAGATTCCCAGTCTTCACTGTTTCTCCCCACCAAATGTACTTATTACTTCCTCATTTTATCCTATTAAAAAGTAGTTTGTTTCTAAAAATCTGAAAAACACCTTACTTTTCAAGAGGGTAAATCACTACGCTACAAATTCCCTTCATCCTACTATTAAAATGGCTTCTATGACTCGGTTCTAACTTCTAAATTTCTTGATGGCATCTTTCTAAATTTGCATCCAGTTCATCTATAGTACACATTCCTTACAAACTTATAATCTAGTTATAATGAACGAATACTACCTTTCCAAGTATCAAGTCTGGAAGCCCTGATTTTTTCAGGAAAGCAGCAGCATCAGAAGCCAACACCCTTCCAGTATTGCCTGTATCAACCTGAAAAGATACAAATCCGTAAGTTGACAACAAAATACAAAAGGCAAAATTATCACCATTTACCTGCCTTCCATCCCTGTGATTTGGGACCTGGCTTTTGCAAGAAAGGAATGAGAATCCTTTGACTACCATGGGCCAAAGAATATGTGGACAGACATATGAGTAGTACTATCTAGACAGCACTGGCAATTTACAAAGTGGTTTTTGTTTTATCATGCCCTACCATACAAATGAGAAAAGTGAAGCTCAGAGGATTGTCAAAGCAAATTCGTGGGGTTGTAACATCAACACATATCTTCTATAGCTGTCATTTAAATTCCAATTAAATGGCACTAGGAAGAAAGGAGCAGCATTTCCTACAGAGGTCTTCTGACAAATGGGAATAGTTGCACATGTTATGTGCCTCTTCAAACATCTTTCAATCATCAACTTTCACTTTTATACCTACTCTTAGGAACTGCAGCACTTTAAAACAAATCAAAGCAATAGCAGCTCTAAAACCAGCAGTGATTCCAAAATAAACTTGAAGAAACCTTTTTAAAGCTGTTAAGTTCCTAAAACATATTAGGGAACATACCATTTTAACTGACCAGGGACTTTCCTTTAAGACAGAATGAGGTCACAAGAACAGAAACAAACAAACAAACAAACAACAACAACAACAAAAACAGGAAAAAAAAGACTCATTTTTGTAAAGATTTCCTAAAGTTCCATTTGTAAAAATGAAAAGTACATTTTAAAAAGTCATGGGAAAGGTAACAGGATAATAGTATATTTGTGAGATATCTGTTTTTCCAGTTTAGTTAAAAGATTAAGTTTACTGTAAACATATACTGTACAAAGCATTCTAGACAGTCCAATCCTAGCAAAGAAGCAAAAGGGAAAACCTTTCTTTCAAGTGGTACAACATGGGAAAAATCATGCACTCAGCAAAAAAGAAAAACATGGCCTAATCCTTCAAATTTGGAATAAGAGGAAGTATAAGGATTGGGAAACCTGCCTGTAGAATTCTTCAGAACTCCTTTTCTTTGCCTACTTCCTGATCAGCATACAAAACAAATATCCATACCCAACACAGCCTACTAAATATAGAAGCATTCAGGGGAAACATTGATCAAACTCTTATGAAATCATTATGTACTGTATCCCAATTAAGAATTTTACTATCTTCCATTCTTTTGGTTACCCTAATAATATAAACATTTAGTCTTTGTCATCTACAGGCAGTTTCTGAGGTATTCTGCTGCTTGCCTAAAGGCTCTGCCATAGGCAAAGCCAGAAGCTATAGGCCAGAAGCTGATATATCTTCAACAAAGAGTCTTAGAGCCTCATGAAAATGACTATACTTTTGATATAGTCTGTATCTATAAGACATACATAGTCTGAATTATTAACATTTCAAAAAGTGGATTTTTGGATAAAGACTACTCAGCTGACATCACACTACTTTCAGACCATATTGGTAGATGAAGTCAGGATTTCCAGGACTCTTTTCAGTCTGAAAGAAGATGTACTTCATAAAAGCAGACTTCTAATCCGAGATTCAGCTGAACAAGAATTACACAGGACTGAATGAACTGTTGAGGAAAATTTAATTATAGTTATTTACTTGGAATACTGTTGGTATTATTTTAATGTTCTATTTTCTAATAGCTATGTGCATAAGCCCTTTCTGAGACCCTCAACTTAGTAGCCTCTGCTTTTGTAAACCAAATGAAATAGTTTTCTTTTTTTATTATTATTATTATTATACTTTAAGTTCTAGGGTACATGTGCACAACATGCAGGTTTGTTACATATGTATACATGTGCCATGCTGGTGTGCTGCACCCATTAACTCGTCATTTACATTAGGTATATCTCCTAATGCTATCCCTCCCCCCTCCCCCCAACCCACAAAAGGCCACGGTGTGTGATGTTCCCCACCCTGTGTCCAAGTGTTTTCATTGTTCAATTCCCACCTATGAGTGAGAACATGCGGTGTTTGGTTTTTTGTCCTTGCGATAGTTTGCTCAGAATGATGGTTTCCAGCTTCATCCACATCCCTACAAAGGACATGAACTCATCCTTCTTTATGGCTGCATAGTATTCCATGTTGTATAAGTGCCACATTTTCTTAATCCAGTCTATCATTGATGGACATTTGGGTTGGTTCCAAGTCTTTGCTACTGTGAATAGTGCCGCAATAAACATATGTGTGCATGTGTCTTTATAGCAGCATGATTTATAATCCTTTGGGTATATACTCAGTAATGGGACGGCTGGGTCAAATGGTATTTCTAGTTCTAGATCCTTGAGGAATCGCCACACTGTCTTCCACAATGGTTGAATTAGTTTACACTCCCATCAACAGTGTAAAAGTGTTCCTATTTCTCCACATCCTCTCTAACATCTGTTTCCTGACTTTTTAATGATCGCCATTCTAACTGGTGTGAGATGGTATCTCACTGTGGGTTTTATTTGCATTTCTCTGATGACCAGTGATGACAAGCATTTTTTCACGTGCCTGTTGGCTGCATAAATATCTTCTTTTGAGAAGTGTCTGTTCATATCCTTCGCCTACTTTTTGATGGGGTTGTTTGATTTCTTCTGGTAAATTTGTCTAAGTTCTTTGTAGATTCTGGATATTAGCCCTTTGTCAGATGGGTAGATTGTAAAAATTTTCTCCCATCCTGTAGGTTGCCTGTTCACTCTGATTGTAGTTTCTTTTGCTGTGTGGAAGCTCTCTAGTTTAATTAGATACCATTTATCAATTTTGACTTTTGTTGCCATTGCTGTTGGTGTTTTAGTCATGAAGTTCTTGCCCATGCCTATGGCCTGAATGGTATTGCCTAGGTTTTCTTCTAGGGTTTTTATGGGTTTTAGGTCTAACATTTAAGTCTTTAATCCATCTTGAAATAATTTTTGTAGAAGGTGTAAGGAACGGATCCAGTTTCAGCTTTCTACATATGGCTAGCCAGTTTTCCCAGCACCATTTATTAAATAGGGAATCCTTTCCCCATTTCTTGTTTTTGTCAGGTTTGTCAAAGATCAGATGACTGTAGATGTGTGGTATTATTTCTGAGGGCTCTGCTCTGTTCCATTGGTCTATATCTCTGTTTTGGTACTAGTCCCATGCTGTTTTGGTTACTGCAGCCTTGTAGCATAGTTTGAAGTCAGGTAGTGTAATGCCTCCAGCTTTGTTCTTTTTGCTTAGGATTGTCTTGGCAATGTGGGCTCATTTTTGAGCCAATGTGGAACCATTTTTGGTTCCATATGAACTTTAAAGTAGTTTTTTTCCAATTCTGTGAAGAAAGTCATTGGTAGCTTGATGGGGATGGCACTGAATCTAAATTACCTTGGGCAGTATGGCCATTTTCATGATATTGATTCTTCCTATCCATGAGTATGGAATGTTCTTCCATTTGTTTGTGTCCTCTTTTATTTCGCTGAGCAGTGGCTTATACTTCTCCTTGAAGAGGTCCTTCACCCTCTTGGGAGCGTGTATGTGTTGAGGAATTTACCCATTTCTTCTAGATTTTCTAGTTTATTTGCATAGAGGTGTTTATAGTAGTCTCTGATGGTATTTTGTATTTCTGTGGGATCAGTGGTGATATTCCCTTTATCATTTTTTATTGCGTCTATTTGATCCTTCTCTCTTTTCTTCTTTATTAGTCTTGCTAGCGGTCTATCAATTTTGTTGATCTTTTCAAAAAACCAGCTCCTGGATTCATTGATTTTTTGAAGGGTTTTTTGTGTCTCTATTTTCTTCAGTTCTGCTCTGATCTTAGTTATTTCTCATTGGTTCCATTTATATGCTGGATTATGTTTATTGATTGCATATGTTGAACCAGCCTTGCATCCCAGGGATGAAACCCATTTGATCATGGTGGATAAGCTTTATGATGTGCTGCTGGATTCGGTTTGCCAGTATTTTATTGAGGATTTTTGCATGGATGTTCATCAGGGATATTGGTCTAAAATTCTCTTTTTTTGTTGTGTCTCTGCCAGGTTTTGGTATCAGGATGATGCTGGCCTCATAAAATGAGTTAGGGAGGATTCCCTCTTTTTCTATTGATTGGAATAGTTTCAGAAAGAATGGTACCAGCTCCTCTTTGTACCTCTGGTAGAATTCGGTTGTGAATCCATCTGGTCCTGGACTTTTTTTGGTTGGTAAGCTATTAATTATCGCCTCAATTTCAGAGCCTGTTATTGGTCTATTCAGAGATACAACTTCTTCCTGGTTTAGTCTTGGGAGGGTGTAGTGTCCAGGAATTTATCCATTTCTTCTAGATTTTCTAGTTTATTTGCATAGAGGTGTTTATAGTAGTCTCTGATGGTAGTTTGTATTTCTGTGGGATCGGTGGTGGTATCCCCTTTATCATTTTTTATTGTGTCTATTTGATTCTTCTCTCTCTGCTTCTTTATTAGTTTTGCTAGTGGTCTATCAATTTTGTTGATCTTTTCAAAAAACCAGCTTCTGGATTCCCTGATTTTTTGAAGGGTTTTTTGTGTCTCTATTTCCTTCAGTTCTGCTCTCATCTTAGTTATTTCTTGCCTTCTGCTAGCTTTTGAATGTGCTGGCTCTTGCTTCTCTAGTTCTTTTAATTGTGATGTTAGGTTGTCAATTTTAGATCTTTCCTGCTTTCTCTTGTGGGCATTTAGTGCTATAAACTTTCCTCTACACACTGCTTTGAATGTGTCCCAGAGGTTCTGGTATGTTGTGTCTTTGTTCTCGTTGGTTTCAAAGAACATCTTTATTTCTGCCTTCATTTCATTATGTACCCAGTAGTCATTCAGGAGCAGGTTGTTCAGTTGCCATGTAGTTGAGTGGTTTTGAGTGAGTTTCTTAATCCTGAATTCTAGTTTGATTGCACTGTGGTCTGAGAGACAGTTTGTTATAATTTCTGTTCTTTTACATTTGCTGAGGAGTGCTTTACTTCCAACTATGTGGTCAATTTTGGAATAGGTGTGGTGTGGTGCTGAAAATAATGTATATTCTGTTGATTTGGGGTGGAGAGTTCTGTAGAGGTCTATTAGGTCCGGTTGGTGCAGAGCTGAGTTCAATTCCTGGATATCCTTGTTAACTGTCTGTCTCACTGATCTGACTAATGTTGACAGTGTGGTGTTAAAGTCTCCCATTATTACTGTGTGGGAGTCTAAGTCTCTTTGTAGGTCTCTAAGGACTTGCTTTATGAATCTGGGTGCTCCTGTATTGGGTGTATATATATTTAGGATAGTTAGCTCTCCTTGTTGAATTGATCCCTTTACCATTATGTAATGGCCTTCTTTGTCTCTTTTGATCTTTGTTGGTTTAAAGTCTGTTTTATCAGACACTAGGATTGCAACCCCTGCTTTTTTTTTGTTTTCCATTTGCTTGGTAGATCTTCATCCATCCCTTTATTTTGAGCCTATGTGTGTCTCTGCACATGAGATGGGTCTCCTGAATACAGCACACTGATGGGTCTTGCCTCTTTATCCAGTTTGCCAGTCTGTGTCTTTTAATTGGAGCATTTAGCCCATTTACATTTAAGGTTAATATTGTTATGTGTGAATTTGATCCTGTCATTATGATGTTAGCTGGTTGTTTCGCTTGTTAGTTGATGCAGTTTCTTCCTAACCTTGATGGTCTTTACAATTTGGCATGTTTTTGCAGTGGCTGGTACCGGTTGTTCCTTTCCATGTTTAGTGCTTCCTTCAGGAGCTCTTGTAAGGCAGGCCTGGTGGTGACAAAATCTCTCAGCATTTGCTTGTCTGTAAAGTATTTTATTTCTCCTTCACTTATGAAGCTTAGTTTGGCTGGATATGAAATTCTGGGTTGAAAATTCTTTTCTTTAAGAATGTTGAACATTGGCCCCCACTCTCTTCTGGCTGGTAGAGTTTCTGCCAAGAGATCAGCTGTTAGTCTGATGGGCTTCCCTTTGTGGGTAACGCGACCTTTCTCTCTGGCTGCTCTTAACATTTTTTCCTTCATTTCAACTTTGGTGAATCTGACAATTATGTGGTCTTGGAGTTGCTCTTCTCGAGGAGTATCTTTGTGGCATTCTCTATATTTCCTGAATTTGAATGTTGGCCTGCCTTGCTAGGTTGGGTAAGTTCTCCTGGATAATATCCTGAAGAGTGTTTTCCAACTTGGTTCCGTTCTCCCCATCACTTTCAGGTACACCAATCAGACGTAGATTTGGTCTTTTTACATAGTCCCATATTTCTTGGAGGCTTTGTTCGTTTCCTTTTACTCTTTTTTCTCTAAACTTCTCTTCTCGCTTCATTTCATTCGAGCTTCAACCACTGATACCTTTTCTTCCACTTGATCGAATTGGCTACTGAAGCTTGTGCTTGCGTCACGTAGTTCTCGTGCCATGGTTTTCAGCTCCATCAGGTCATGTAAGGTCTTCTCTACGCTGTTTATTCTAATTAGCCATTCGTCTAATCTTTTTTCAAGGATTTTAGCTTCTTTGCAATGGGTTCGAACATCCTCCTTTAGCTCAGAGAAGTTTGTTATTACTGATCGTCTGAAGCCTAGTTCTGTCAGCTTGTCAAAGTCATTCTCCATCCAGCTTTGTTCCATTGCTGGCGAGGAGCTCTGTTCCTTTGGAGGAGAAGAGGTGCTCTGATTTTTAGAATTTTCAGCTTTTCTGCTCTGGTTTCTCCCCATCAATAGTATCTGATTCTCACTGACTCCTCAGAATTCAAAAACAAATACTTGTATGGAATGTTTTTACTCTTTATAGCAATATAGTTATTACATGGGTTCAATAGCAATTTGTTTTTCTTCTTAGGATGTAACTGGATAAGCCAATTGTGTAAAACAAGGCCATTATTTGAGAATGACTTCTTTTATTCAAACAAAACAAAGATTAAAGAACAAGCACTGACTTTATGTGGCACGAACATCACAAAGATCTCCCAAGAAAACTGGGCTGCTACCTGGTTTACAAGATCCTAGCCTCACGGGTAGTAAAGTAAGGTCACTTACCAGCAGGCTAGGAACCTTAGCAAATCTGGGAAACCTCAAGATGAGATAAATTCACTCATATTTATATGTAGTGAAGGTGAAATATGGTGGAGAGAATTTCTAAGGTTTGGAGCACAGCCTTAAGATAGAAGAACAAATGTAACAGGGGAATTAAAAAGTACAGTCTGAGATTCTTGATATTTTTCAGGCAGAAATTATTCTCTGACCTTAGAAGTTGCTATATAGTTTATAGCTCCTGATTTGCAAGTCAAAACCAAAGAGGCCTATAATGTTTAATTAATACTTGCTGCAACTATGTAAATAGCCAGGCCAAAAATAATGAAACCAGCCTTTTCTGTGATCATAATCATAAGGTAGTGAGACTGTTAGAAAAAATAATCTGACACTTGAAAATGGGCAAATAAGATTGTCTACACCTTCAAGAAATTATCGTCTGATCTATGGTATGCACCCTTGATGACTTTCTTCTGTCTAGACTACTTTATACTCGTAGAGGTAGAGGTTAATAGAAACTGATAGCGATGCAAGTGACTCCTGTCCATACCAACACAAATGAATATTGTCTGGTGAAGTATGTAAATCTCTGTAACTCATATTCCCATTTTTTTGTTGTTGTTTGTTTGTTTTTGAGATGGAGTTTCACTCTTTTTGCACAAGCTGGAGTGCAATGGCACGATCTTGGCTCACTGTAACCTCGCCTCCCAGGTTCAAGTGATTCTCCTGCCTTAGCCTCCCGAGTAGGTGGGATTAGAGGCATGCACCACCAAACCCAGCTAATTTTGTATTTTAGTAGAGACAGGGTTTCACCATGTTGGCCAGCCTGGTCTTGAACTCCTGACCTCAGGTAATCCGCCTGCCTCAGCCTCCCAAAGGGCTGGGATTACAGGTGTGAGCCACCACACCCGGCCATATTCCCATTTTTATATCTGACCAGAGGCTGTATATCTGTACTAATTAACCAGTAATTAATGAGTTGAATAAAATCTGATACATGCTCATTATGTATTTGTATAAAAGTCATGTTTTTCACTTTGTGAAAATTATACTTTAATAAGTCTTAAAAACAACATAGAAGTTATTTGTATTTGTCTTAAGAATTTGGAATATTTATATCTGGATAAATCTATCAAATGTATACATTTTCAACATAGATATTTAAGACAACTAAGTACTTGGACTTAATTATCTTTCCTTCATTTCTCTGGGATTGTCAAATGCATTAAGTACTCAAAGTGGAGGCTGTAAACAAGATGTTGAAAACAAGACACATCAAATTTATCGAGCTAGCTGGTAATCTACAGGCATACAATCAAGAGTTGACAGTACATTTAATGTTCAATCCAGGCAAACAATGAAACAAAAATCTTACCTGTCTATAGTATTTTTCATATACAGGATTCCCACTTGATAACTGAAATAAACACATTAATAAAAATTAGATGCTATTCATTAACTTCTATTAACATATTTGGCATTCATTCAACAGATATTTGAGAAACAAAGATGAATAAGATAAAATATCCTTGATTTCAGGGGTTAGATTTTGTTTCTTCTTGGGGAGCGTGAGACAGAGAATAGATAAAGATAGTCACATGGGTTACTAAGAATCAGGTAGACAAGAAATGAAACAAGAATCTTAAATTTTGTTTTTGACATCAAAACTCCTCTTCATCTAATATTTTACCCAGAAACCCAATATGTAACAAATTGAGAATGAAATGCTTTCTCTAAAGCCAGTTGAGAGGCCCAAATCCCCAAGAATTCATCCTCTACCCAAGTACCCAAAGTACCTATGAATACATTTCAAAAACCACTTCAATAAAACAATTAAATGAATATACAAACTGACATACAGAAAGGTAGTGATGTCATCAGATATAAACTGCTTGCAGAAAGGCAGTTCCATTAAATTCACACTACAGTTCAAAGAGTTCCTTGGTCAGCTTATGAACAGACTCATCTGAAATTCAATGTTTGAAGGATCGACTGGGTGCAGTGGCTCACACCAGTAATCTCAGCACTTTGGGAGGCTGAGGCAGGAGGACTGCTTGAACCCAAGAGTTTGAGACCAGCCTGGGCATCACAGTGAGACCTCGTCTTTACAAATAATTTAAAAATTGGCCAGGTGTGGTGGCACATGCCTGTAGTCCCAGCTACTTGGGAGGCTGAGGTGGGAGAACTGCCTCAGCCCAGGCAGTTGTGGCTGCGGTGAGCTGTGACTCTGTGACTGTACTCAAGTCTGGTTAACAGACTGAGACCCTGTCTCAAAAAAGAAAAAAAAGGTTTGAAGGATCAAGTTTGCCTCCATATGAATGTGTAAGAGTGTTCTGGGATCAGGATGGGAATCCAGGAAGGCTTCATGGGGTGACATCAGAGCAGGAACTTGAGGTATGGGGAAGATGGGGAGAGGGTGATTCTACACAGAGATAGCAGTATGCACAAAGGCATGCGATCAACAGAAAACTCAGTTATGTCTAAAAAGAACAGCAAGAAGTTCTGAACGATAAGAGGGATAGGGAGATAAGATTATAAAATTTTGTAGAAGACAACTTATGAAGGGTTTCATCTGCCATTGTAGAGTAAAAAAAAATGAAGTCGCCCAGGCTGGAGTACAGTGGCGTGGCACGATCTAGGCTCACTGCAACCTCCGCCTCCCAGGTTCAAGTGATTCTCCTGCCTCAGCCTCCCAAGTAGCAGCATTACAGGCGTGCACCACCATGCCTGGCTAATTTTTGTATTTTTAGTAGAGATGGGGTTTCGCCATGTTGTCTAGGCTGGTCTCGAACTCCTGATCTCAAGTGATCCACCCGTTGTGGCTTCCCAAAGTGCTGGGATTACAAGCATGAGCCACCACACCCGGCCTTAGGAAGTAATTTTAATGGTCTGGTTGAGGGGCTGAACATTGACAATGGCAGAAGAGAAGGGTATGGCTTGAAAAAAAGTTTGTAACATAGATTTGACAGGACTTATTAAGTGGGTGAGGGGGAAGGAAAGCATAATTTTAAAAATACATAAAATGTGTACACACACACACAGTAGTTTCCCCTTATCCACAGTTTCACTTTCCACAGTTTTAGTTACCCTCAGTTGCTCGCCGTCAGAGTATTAAATGAAAAATTCCAGAAATAAACATTTCATAACTTTTAAATTGTAAACCATTCCAAGTAGCATGATGAAATCTCATGCCATCCCACCCAGGACGTGAATCCCTTTGTCCAGGGCATCTACTCTGTATATGGTACCTGCCCATTAGTCACTTAGTAGCCGACTCAGTTATCAGGCTGACAGATCACAAAAAGGATGAGTATAATACAATAAGATATGTTGAGAGAGAGAGAAACCACATTCACATAAATTTTATTACAGCATATTGTTATAATTGTACTATTTCACTATTAGTTTTGTTGTTAATCTTACTGTGCCTAATTTATAAATTAAACTTTATCACAGGTATGACATACACACAGATATATATATTCGAACTCAAGACTGCAAGTGTGTGTGTGTGTGTGTGTGTGTGTGTGTGTGTGTGTGTGTCTCATACTGGTTCAGTTTTTCTGGAGAACCCTAATACATCCAGTCTCAGAGAGGTTACCTCTCCAGGCCTTTAAAAGGCAGAGTCAGCCAGGCACGGTGGCATGTGCCTGTAATCCCAGCACTTTGGGAGGCCAAGGTGGGCGGATCACGAGGTCAGGAGATCAAGACCATCTTGGCCAACATGGTGAAAGCCCGTCTCTACAAAAATACAAAAAATTAGCTGGACAGGGTGGTGCATGCCTATAATCCCAGCTACGTGGAAGGCTGAGGCAGGGGAATTGCTTGAACCCGGGAGGTGGAGGTTGCAGTGAGCTGAAATCACGCCACTGCACTCCAGCCTAGCAAAAGAGCAAGACTCCACCTAAAAAAAAAAAAGGCAGAGTCAGACGGATGTGGTGGTTCATGCCTGTAATCCCAGGAGGGGATTTGGGAAGCTATTGGGGGAGGATTGCTTCAATCTAAGAGTTTGAGATCAGCCTGGGCAATGTAGAGAAACACCATCTCCACCAAAAATGCAAAAATTAGCCGGGCATAGTGGCATGCATCTATAGTGTCAGCTACTCAGGAGGCTGAGGCAGGAGGATTGGTTGAGCCACGGAGGTCAAAGCTACAGTGACCTGTGATTGTGCCACTGCACTCTAGCCTGGGCAACAGAGTGAGACCCTGTCTCTCAAAAAAAAGTCAGAGTCAGGACTTAGGTGTCCTGCTCCCAGCTCTGTGTTGCTTCCCATATGCCCTGGTATGCCCAGGAAAATCTTGATTTACCGTCATTGTCCCAGCATCCCATTCAGCTTAACATATGTCTCCGATTTCCCATTTTTAAAAAGAAACTATTATTGGGCCAGGTGTAGTCGCTCGCGCCTGTAATCTCAGCACTTTGGGAGGCCGAGGCAGGAGGACTGCTTGAAACCAGGAGTTTGAGACCAATCTAGGCAACACAGCGAGATCTTGTCTCCATTTAAAAAAATTTTTTAAATAAAAAATTAAATTAAATTTTAAATTTTAAAAAAACTATTATCAATCATTATATCAAAATACACTAAAACCAGAATGGATTTTGTATCTCTACTGTGTATATCTAGTTTCTGGCCAAGTTATCAACTAGTAGTCTATAAGTGCTTTCACCACATAAACAAGTGATGAAATCTGGAAGAGAACTAGTGATAATTCCATCTTTCTTGTTCTGATTCTTTACAGATTCAACAAAACAACTTCTTTGCAAGGGGAGTGCATAGACTTACTGAAAAGTATCCTCAGACTTAAGCAACCATGGGCAATTAACTCTGTATGGTCTTGCAAAATATTAGGAGAAATATTTGACACTGGTGCTCCTGTTGGTTACCTGGTATGCCAGGCAGTGCAGTGGCATGTACAGTGACCACAAGACACACTAGGCCACCAGCTGGCTATGTCAGTGGGAAATTGCAGGTTGGGTGCAAATGAAGTATGTGCAAAGTCAATAGTATGAAAACTCTTAGATGGTTTTGTCATTTATTGTATTGTACAAGTCTACAACTGTTTATTTATTTTGTTGTTTGGTAACCATTTTATTATTTCATAAGCCTTTTCAGGAGCAATGAGCTATAAAGACATCACTGTATCCAATAAAAACTAAGCTCTAAATTTTCATTTCTCCAGAAAATAGATGGGCAGACAATTTGCAGAGAACCACTGAGGCAGTTTCTATTTATCATGGAGCTCTAGTGACATCACTATTAATGAGTCAGCTTCAAACGTCAACATTTATAAATGTTTTCATATTCCCACTGTTAAATTTTTAAGGATAAGACTGATACTGAATACAATAAAATAGTGCAACAGAGCAATATGTGTATTCTCCTTGCAACCTGTCATCGGACTTCCGAGGCTAGTACTTTCAAAAAACTACTTTATAAATCCAATCAATGTCTCAATAGTGAGTCTTTTTAAAAATAAGTCCTCTAGAAATTGGTTGCATACTGTTCAAAATCAGTTGGAAACCTTTAATCAAAAGTAAAGTTTAGTGAGCTGGGCATGATGGCGCACACCTGTAGTCCCAGCTATTTGGGAGGCTGGGATGGGAGGATCACTTGAGCCCAGGAATTCATGACCAACCTGGGCAACACAGTGAGACATCATCTCCTTAAAAAAACAAACAAACAAACAAAAACAAGTTTAATGAATAAAGCTCCAGAAAACCTTCAGCTTTTGAAGCTTTTAGCAAATACCAATTATTATCAACAAAGTTTGCCAAGACACTGAAATATATCCTTCAAAAGCAAGGAAGAACCGAACAAATTAAATGAGAGTTCAAATAGTACACGAGATTTCATTTTGAAATTTTATCATTATATTTTGGAATGAATTTTAGAAGTTCCATCGAGGGTCTTTTTTTTGAGATGGAGTTCGCTCTTGTCGCCCAGGGTGGAGTGCAATGGCACTATCTTGGCCCACTGCAACCTCTGCCTCCCAGGTTCAAGCGATTCTCATGCCTCAGCCTCCCAAGTAGCTGGGATTACAGGTGCCCGCCACCACATCCAGCTAATTTTTGTATTTTTAGTAGAGATGGGGTTTCGCCATGTTGGCCAGGTTGGTCTTGAACTACTGACCTCAGGTGATCCACCCACCTCAGCCTCCCAAAGTGCTGGGATTACAGGTGTGAGCCACCATGCGCAGTCGAGTCTTTCTATTTTTAAGTAGGTGAAAGAAAATTACAGGCCAGGCACAGTGGCTCATGCCTGTAATCTCAACACTTTGGGAGGCCAAGGCGGGTGGATCACCTGAGGTCAGGAGTTCGAGACCAGCCTGGCCAATATGGCAACACCTCGTCTCTACTAAAAATACAAAAAAAAAAAAATAGCTGGACATGGTGGCGGGCACCTGTAATCCCAGCTACTAGGAAGGCTGAGGCAGCAGAATTGCTTTAAGCCAGGAGGCAGAGGTTGCAGTGAGCTGAGACTGTGCCATTGCACTCCAGCCTGGGCTACAAGAGCGAGACTGCATCTCAAAAAAAAAAAAAAAAAAAAAATTAGAGAAGGCCTACAATTTTGCAACACTTAAATCTGGTGGAACATATAAAATAATCATAAATAGGGACAACTTATTTGTATCAAAGACAGTACCTTGTGACTAGATTGGACAATATAGGGAGATCCTGTCTCTATAAAAAATGAAAAGTAAAAACAGAGATTACCTTTAATACAGGCAAAAGGACACTGCCTGTGAAAATACTGAGACTGATATATTTATAATTTTCTTTTCTTTTTTTTCTTTTTTGAGACAGAGTTTTGCTCTTGTTACCCAGGCTGGAGTACAGTGGCATGATCTCCACTCACTGCAACCTCTGCCTCCCAGGGTCAAGTGATTCTCCTCCCTCAGCCTCCCGCCACCACACCTGGCTAATTTTTGTGTGTGTGTGTGTGTATTTTTAGTAGAGACGGGGGCTTCATCACGTTGGCCAGGCTAGTCTTGAACTCCTGACCTCAGGTGATCCATCTGCCTCGGCCTCCGAAAATGCTGGGATTACAGGCATAAGCCACTGCGCCCAGCCTATAATTTTCAATAAGAAAAAAATTAGAATTAAGAATATTCTCCATCTAGCAAAATTTTTCCTGAGCTAACTGGGGACAGCAGCACATATAAAGTATGTTAGCAACTAAAAACATTATTGGTTATAGTGAAGCATCAACTGTAGAAGTTAACAACCACAAGTATAAAATGTAACTCTGCAAAATACTGCAATTTTATGAAAAAATTAAAACTAGTAAAACCAGATGGAAAATCATATTCAGAAAAGTATCAGTGACACAGTATTAGTGACAGATTTGACCGAGAAACTGATAAAAATATTTATTACCAAAAATAGTTTGTTTTTAAATATTCAACTGAAGTCCATGTTAAAAACTTTGTTATAATGTACAACAAAATGTTTTAGAAATTGTTTTTGAAAACAGACTTTAAATGGAGCTATTTTATTGATCTACTAATGCAATAAAAACTATTTTAATGGTTGAAAAAAGTAAATATTCCAAAAATATATAGAATTTTAAATATTTGTAGTACCCCCTTTCATTCTCAAAAATGTACCAGTTTGAATGAAAAATTATATAGTCATCTACTTAGTTATGACAACAGTATAAATACTTTGCCAAAGACAGCAAATTAAATATGTTCCCTCAATAATAAAAAGTTAATTTTAATTGGATTTTTTGAATACAGGGAAAAAAAACCTCATACACAGTAAGAAATCCTGATCTCCAACCTGTGCCTTAATAATCCTCACATTACAGGTTCATTGGTTACTACCTAAACACATAGGAGAAGATATTAGCTCACCAAAGTGTTCTAAAGTACACCCTGTGCTGATAACTACACTAATGTGATACAGCTAAGTGAGAATGGAAAAAGCCATCCAAAGTGCCAAGTCACTCATCAAGCAAGATGATCAAAGAGTGTTTCTGGTGTGTCTCAGTAAAATTGGCTTTTGTTGTTATTGTCGGACTATGAACATGATCACTTTTTAGGCAGGGAAAAAAAAATCACATATAATGAATGAACAGAGGAAAAAATTGAAAGGCATAGCTTATTAAATGGTAACAATGATTATCTCTGGATAGCAAGATCATAAATGATTTTTACATTCTTCTTCATACTACTCTGCAGTCTCTGGAAACTCTGAGAATAAACACATCCTAATTATATAATAAGAATGAAACAATAAGGCTATTTTCAATCTAGAGAAAAATATAAAAATCCCCAAATGTGATCAGTATATAAAACTGCATATGAATTTTTAACAATCAAATTAATTTCTAAAGGAAAACTTTAACTCCAACTGTCAAAATCAAAATCTGACCTTTTACAATTCTGTTATTACAATTTAAAAGCAATTATATATTCATTACCTATATCATAAATTCTTACCAGCTGTCACAAAGTTAAATATTCATAAATGTCAGAATTCTTTTGAAAGAGTCCATTGCTATTTCTTACTAGTCTGAAAAATGTAAAGTACCTGTAAACAAGAGATGCTAGAAAGCCAATAAAGTTTTGTAAAAAAAAAAAAAAAAAAAAAAAACTCAGACTTTGTATCAGAAAGGTATTCAAAGCCCATTCTACTACTTCTTAGGTATGATCTTTAGTAGCTTATTTTACCTCCTTGAAAAGCCTGTTTCCTGATCTGGTTGGTTTTGAGACAGGATCCCACTCAGTCCTGGCTGAAGTGCAGTGATACAATCACACTGCTGCCTCAAACCTCTGAGCTTAAACAATCTTCCCAAGTAGCTGGAATTATAGGCATGAGCCACTACACCCAGCCTCTCCTCCTTTCTTTAGTAATAGTACCCCTAAGCTTTACATACACACACCTAGCTAAAACCTACATTTCCCAACCTCTCTTGCAATTTCAGTTATTCATCAATGGAATGATAAAAGAAATGTGTCCAACTCCGAGGATGTGCATCTAAAGAGAAAGGAAATGCCTTCTGACTCCTAACCCTTCTCATAGCTGGCTAGAATACAGATATAGTGACAGAATCTAGAGAAGCTATCTTGGATTGCGACGGAAAACATGGGAAAAATACAGCAACACGAGAAAAAAAGCCTGAGTCCCTGACACCATCATGAAGCTCCTACAGCACTCTACACCACCTACCCCACTTGGATTGTTACTTGTTACTTGAAATTTGTGATTTTGGTTTAAACCAATATCCTAACTAATGTAAAAAAAAAAAACAAAACAAAAGGAGGAACTGCTATTTTTGTTAAGGAAAAAATATGTTATTATAATTACATATATAGCTATAGAAATGTAAATATAATAAACTTTACTAAGAAAAAAATTTTTACAAAGTATAGCCTAGTATACCATATATATATATATATATATGTATGTATGTATGTATGTATTTTTTTTTTTTTGGAGATGGCGTCTCCCTCCGTCACCCAGGTTAGAGTGCAATCACGTGATCTCGGCTCACTGCAATCTCCGCCTCCCGGGTTCCAGCAATTCTCCAGCCTTAGCCTCCCAAGTAGCTGGGACTACAGGTGCACACCACCACGCCAGACTATTTTATTTTTAGTAGAGACAGGGTTTCACCATGTTTTGCAGGCTGGTCTCAAACTCCTGGCCTCAGGTGACTAGTACAGCATCTTAAGGTGTTTAGGTGGTATTATAATTCCCAGTCGTCTGTTTCCCTCTTGTATACACAGAGTATATAGCCTCTCTCTCTTTAAGAGTAGTATTAATATCCCTGCCTGTTGCCATGTGACTTGTGGTGTCTCTCCGTGGGTGTTCCAAGGGTGGGTTTGGCCATATAACTTGTTTTGGCCACTGAATCTGGGAGAAAGTTCCAGTTCCAAGTAGAAGCTTCAACAGCTATTGTGTGTTTCTGACAGGTCTTACTGTTTTCTCTCTACCAAGAGAACAATATGTCACAAATAGGGACTGCTCCTCCAGCCCGGATCCTCAAATGAGAAAGAATCACAGAGCAGAACCATAGCTGATTCCTAGGAAGCCTATAACGTGAAAAACAAATAAACCCTTCTTATTGTAAGCTACTCATATTTTGGCTTGTTTCTTAGTGCAGCATAATCTAGCAAATGTTAACACATAAGTAAATCAACACCAAAGTGTATCAAGTAGTAATAAAAAAGATCCCAGTTACTAAGGAAATTTATAGGTTAATAATTAAATGTCAAGAATTGTCTCATATGGAATTTCTGGTGTCATTTTTAGGGGAGGGTTATGTGGGAGGAGATATTAGAGTACATGACTTTGAGAGTACAAGATTCTCTAACACACAAAATAAACTGAAATTTTAAATGATTTAGTCTTATTATAAATGGTTACAGTACAATGTGGAAGGCCAGGCATGGTGGCTCACACCTATAATCCCAGCACTCTGGGCGGCCAAAGCGGGCAAATCACGAGGTCAGGAGTTCAAGACCAGCCTGACCATCATGGTGAAACCCCATCTCTACTAAAAATACAAAAAATTAGCTGGGCGTGGTGGCGGGTGCCTGTAATCCCAGCTACTCGGGAGGCTGAGGCAGGAGAATCGCTTGAACCCGGGAGGCAGAGGTTGCAGTGAGCCGAGATCATGCCATTGCACTCCCGCCTGGGCAACAGTGCGAGACTCCATCTCAAAAAAAAAAAAAAAAAAAAACAGAAGTGAAAGTAAAATAAAGAGACAACCTCTAAAACATAATGCCAATCTTTTCTCAGTTAATCACAAGGTCAGATACTAGGGAGTCGTCAGTAAATAAATTAATAAAATGGAGAGGGGAGTGGGTATGATTATAGAGGGTAACACAAAGGATCTTTGTGACAGAGCAAGTCTTTATTTTGATTACGCTTACAGTTACATGAACCCACACATAATAAAACTGCATATGGATAGAACTATATATGCAAACACACTAATGAGTATCTATAAAACCGGCAAAATTTAAATAAGGTCTGTGGGTTATACCAATGTCAATTTCCTGTTTTTGCTATTGCTGTAGTTATGTAAGATGTTACAATTAGGGAAAATTGGATGAAGGGTGCATAGAGCCTCTCGGTACTACTTTTTGCAACTTCCCATGAAAAGGCAGTATTGAAGACCAATGTGAAGTAGAGAGAAGGTGGCAAATCAGGCAGTAAGAACACTGTGCGATGGCAAATCAGGGCCAGGTAGTAAAAGGAAGACAATGGAATAGATTTTATCCCTTCAAATAAACCACTCTTTTTAGTTTTGCTCTTTAAAAAATTTTTTAGTCTCTTAATGCACACAATTTTCTGTAATTTGCCATAAAATTATTTCTGACATATTAACACATAAAAATTCAACTACTTAGAATTCCACCTTCTATTACTCCATTTTCAAGAGGGCTGAGAAATCAGAATGGGGACTAGCCACCACAGCCTTTCAACTCCCACCTCAACCACCACCACCACCCTTTAAAGATAGAATAGCAACTCCTAAGGCCAAAGTACTAAATGAATACACCAAGAGTCTATGTTTTTATACACATAGGTTTATAGTTTGCAAGACAGAACATTTAGAAGCTTTTGATAGGCTATCCATATCTAGAAAAGGCTTGTATATTTTACAATGTAAAAGAAAACAGGATGAAAACTAAGAGTAAACAGAAGAATGAAAAATAGTAAGGAGCAATAGTGATTAACAGCAATCCAAAGTGACAAGGAAAATAGAAACCGGAAGCTGTTTGCTTATTACAGAAGCTAGTAATAAGAGAAATTTGAGAAAGGAGAACAACTCTAAAGCTAGGGTGGAGGGCGTGGTGGGGCAGAGAAAGGCAAATCACCTGGGCAGTCCTCACCTTTAGAACTGGAGAGGGTGGGGAGTCAAGGAAACACAAGCAGCCACTTGAGCAGTTCCCTTACAGAATGCACAGTGCACATATTCCTCAGCTCTGTAATTCCCAACTCATTTAATTTTTTTTTTTTTTTTTTTTTGAGACAGAGTGTTGCCCAGTCTGTTGCCCAGGCTGGAGTGCAGTGGCACAATCTCCACTCACCGCAGCCTCCACCTCCGGGGCTCAAGTGATTCTTCCCTCAGCCTCCTAAGCAGATGGGACCACACCCAGCTAATTTTTGTATTTTTTGTAGAGATGGGTTTTCACCATGTTGCCTAGGCTGGTCTCAAACTCCTGGATTTAAGTGATCCACCTGCCTCGGCCTCCCAAAGTGCTGAGATTACAGGCATGAGCCGCTGTGCCTGGCCCTCATTTAATAATTTAATAGACATAAACTGGATGCTTTCTAGGTACAAGACAATAGGTTAAGGTGTCTGGAGTTAAAATAATCAGATAGGGCTCCTGCCTTCAAGGGCTTAAATTCTAGTAAAAATTGTAATGCTACCTTCTGCAAACACGCTAACATCTCATGTTTGTTCCATAACAAAACATTACAAATTGACTTAGCAGGCAAAGACCTAGGAATACTGTAAATACAGTATTCTAAAGAAAGTTTTCAAAATCCAGATAAAAAAATATATTTGCTCTGGAGATTCACTTCTTTCAAAAATGAAAGAAGAAAGGGACTTTAGAATAGACAAAAGAATTTCAAAGAGATAGTACAGAAAATACTACTGAAAAACGATGGATGTAAAGACCATATCACCAACTCAAACCAGTAATGGGCCAGTTTTTAATTGAATACAACTCAATTTGATCAAAAATCTAGGTGACATAGAGACAGAATGAAAGCAAAGTATAGCTTGGGTCTTTCATCAGAAGACTTAGTGAGCCCTATATACATCATTCTAGGTAGGCCAAAAAAACAAACAAACAAACAAAAAAAACAGATCAGTGGAAGAAGCATGATCTTTAAGCATGAATGACTAATATACGAATTTATAAAAATCCTCTCACCTCCTTTGTAGCCCCTCAAATGGCAGCTGTCAGGTTTTAACGACCTGCCTATCTCAGGTTTTAGAAATGTGAATAAACTCCTCTTTGCTCACCAGCAGCTTGTCCACATTACACTATTTAACTTCTTGTTTTAAAAAACAAAAACAACAGCCGGGCGCGGTGGCTCACGCCTGTAATCCCAGCACTTTGGGAGGCCAAGGCGGGCGGATCACAAGATCAGGAGTTCGAGACCATCCTGCCTAACACAGTGAAACCCCGTCTCTACTAAAAATACAAAAAAAAGGCCAGGCACAGTGGCTCACGCCTGTAATCCCAGCACTTTGGGAGGCCAAGGCGGGCGAATCATGAGGTCAGGAGATTGAAACCATCCTGGCTAACATGGTGAAACCCCATCTCTACTAAAAATACAAAAAATTAGCCAGACGTGGTGGTGGGCGCCTGTAGTCCCAGCTACTCGGGAGGCTGAGGCAGGAGAATGGCGTGAACCCGGGAGGCGGAGCTTGCAGTGAGCCAAGATCGCGCCACTGCACTCCAGCCTGGATGACAGAGCGAGACTCCATCCTCCAAAAAAATAAAAATTAGCCAGGCGTGGTGGTGGGCGCCTGTAGTCCCAGCTACTCTGGAGGCTGAGGCAGGAGAATGGCATGAACTCAGGAGGCGGAGCTTGCAGTGAGCCGAGATCGCACCACTGCACTCCAGCCTGGGCGACAGAGCAAGACTCAGTCTCAAATTAAATAAATAAATAAATAAATAAATAAATAAATAAATAAATAAATAAATAAAAATAAAGCTCTATTCTTTTGAGGCTCTTAACTTTCTTTTTTTGGGGGGTGGATGGGAGGACAGAGTCTCCCTCTGTCGCCCAGGCTGGAGTGCAATGGCACGATCTCGGCTCACTGCAACCTCCGCCTTCTGGGTTCAAGCGATTCTCCTGCCTCAGCCTCCCGAGTAGCTGGGATTACAGGCGTCACGCCTGGCTAATTTTTGTATTTTTTTTAGTAGAGACGGGGTTTTACTATGTTGGCCAGGCTGGTCATGAACTCCTGACCTCAGGTGATCCACCAGCCTCGGCCTCCCAAAGTGCTGGGATTACAGGCATGAGCCACGGTGCCCAGCTGAGGCTCTTAACTTTCAACTAAATTACTCTCTCCTCTTCCTTTTCATGTTAACTTTCAAGCTCCTGGTCTCTACCTCATTTACCTAAGGCTTTGATGGCTCACTGTCATCTTCTCTACCCCAACCCTACATCAAATTTAGTAATTTCAATTATCAATTTGCACAACCCATCCACAGCCTGGCTTCTTACTTCCTTGATCTCTTTAACTTCAAGAACCTCTCCAAAACACAGGATCAACAGTGAACACATATATTATGTCCCAGTCACCCTCCTTGTCCCATAGTAAAATCCTTCCTTGCCCTTCTATCTTCAACCAAAAGTGCTCCACCTCCTTAATCACTATTTCAAGCACCTTGTCCTCCAACCACAACCTCTTCTTCCAGATTATAATCCTTTGACCTCTATAAAACCTCTTATCCATGGGCCCAATAGACTTTGATCCCTCAGGCCCTCTCTATTTTACTTTCTCTTCCACCTTATTCAGTTTAGATTCTACAATTCATCATTTCAATAATTCTCCTGCCAATAACCTAAATTCCCTTGCTCCTCTTGTCTTATGACACCAATATAGCAAAATCCCAAACCTGAATGAAACCATCTAAAAACTTTTCTTTGATGCTGCAGCTGAGAAAGTCACTCAACAAGGTAGACCACTATTATAAATTCATGATCACTGTATCAGTTCACAAGGGCCATAACAAAGTACCATAAACTAGATGGCTCAGAACAGAAACTTACTGTCTCACAATCTGGAAGCCAGAAGGCATTAGGGAAGGATCTGTTCCAGGCCTCTCTCCTACTCTTGGTAGTTCTTTGGCTTGTGGCAGCCTACCTCCAATCTTCCCATGCCATTCTCCCTGTATGTCTGCGTTCAAATTTCCCTTTTTATAAGGATGCCAGTCATACTGGATCTGTGCCCCACTCTACTTCATATAACCTTAGCTAATTATATCTGCATCAATGTTATATCCAAGTAAGGTCACATTCTCCAGTACTGGCAAATTTTGAAGGGACACAATTCAACTCATAACAATCAGTAACCTCAATTCTTTCTGGCAAACCTACTTTTAAACTCATTCTCCACAGCAACTATGTCAGGGCAGAAATGTAACCTTAGTGGGACCTATTAGAAAGGGGTCCACTGGACTTGTAATTATAAAGTATGCAAGCCTGAAGCTTTATAATCATCTTAGTTCTACAACAGAATAATTTGCCTTAGAATGGAGCCAAGGTACAAAAAAAGAAAAACTAAGTAGTGACATCACTGTGACCCTGACACACCAGAAGCCAGGTCTACTAATGGACCTACCATTTATATAAACTAATGTTTTCTGCTTAAGACTGTTAGAATTGATGTTTCCTGTCACATGCAAACAAAAAGGTTCTGATATGAGAATGGATAAAACTGACAAAGTGAGTTTTATTTATTTTTATTTTTATTTTTTTTTTTGCTGGCAAGTATGTAGAGTAAGAGTTTTACAGTTCTTGACTGGTTTTGGGAACCATACAGAATACCAGTCAAGAAATATAAAAGAATAACCAAAGAATATAAATCAATAGAAATCTTTGGTGTTTTAATTCTTTTTATACTATAGACCTAACATTTTAAGAAATATGCCCATACAAATTTTTCAAAAAAATCAAGTGTAATTTAAAACAAACACCATTTCCTAAATAAATCAATTTCTTAAAGTGAACTAAGAAAACATATATTTTCAGCATATTTATTACTTGTTCCATTCCTTATTTCCAAACAGCAAAGAATTTGGCAAAAAAAAAACCTCTCCTTAATTATTTAAACAATAATGACAGTAATAACTTATAAAGTGGGAGAGATGGCAAGCCCTCAGGGTTTACTGCTGCCACCCAATTGGGTGGGATGATTAATAACCCAGAAATAACAGCTTTGATTAGTGAAAGGTGACATGGACTAGTCCAAGGTAAATAAACATGCCAATATTTATACAAACAAATGAAGAACAGCTTAGGCAAGGAGAAAAATATAAGCTCTGCACAAATGAGACCAAAAAATTTTTTCAATCAGTAATCAAATGTTGCTTTTTAAAATGGCAAGTTAAACTGTAAAGTATGAATTTAAATAGCACATTTTAAAATCATATACACAGTGTTTCACAGCTTCATAACAAATAACATACATTGAATCTCATTAAGCATTTCCTATACTCCAAGTACTAGTCTAGGCACTTACACATTAAGCCCATTTAACCTGAGGCACATACTATTATACCCATTTAACAAATGAGGAAAATAAGACATTAACTGAGTAACTGACTCAAAGTTACACACCTAGTTAAGTGTTGGTAACAGGATTAAAATCCAAGAAGTCTGATTCCAGGACTTTCACTCTTAATCATTAAGTTTGTTGCCTTTATAATCAATGTTACTATTATTTTCCCCATTATCGTACTAAGCTCTTTCATATGAATTGTAACATTTGAACTTGATAACACTCAGAGAAGTATACCATATTCCCCCAATTCTAAGAAACCTTTAGTTGTAAGTGCCACCTTCCATTTAACAAAAGCATTACCAAAATGAATAGATAATTTAAAAGCATACTTTTTATTCACCTACAATTGCATACATTTATTCATCATTTTCCCCTAGTATCATAAACAAACATTAAGTCAAAGCTTTCTTCACATTCAAAATCTGAAGATTCTTCTGAATTGCTTTCGGCAATTATGCCCAGAATCAGACAGACTTGCTGCTTCATATAATTTAGGCCTCACTTCTAACACTGATCTCTTCAGTATAAAGAAATATTTTAAAATACTGCAGTTTTCTGTTACATTTCCTTTTTTCTATTTTTTTAAACTGTTAATTTTTAAAATTCACTCCATTATAGTCAGAACTTGAGTAACAGTCACTGGATAACATATCAACTTCTCATTTAGCTTTTAAAATTCTACAATGTTCTCCAAGAGTTTAACAATTACTACTATCTAATGTCTACTATGTGACATATGACAGTGGACACTTCGATTCTGAGTTCTAGAATTTTTTTCAGTGCCCTGTACCCTGAATGGTGCTTGACACATAGAAGATAATAAATATTTTATAAGTGAACAAAAATGAAAGAATGAAATGAGTAACTGAATAACAAGAAATCTTCTGCATTCTGCATACAGAAAAAAGCTATTCAATGTTACATATAGAATATTTTTTAGAAGACACTTAGGAGTTCAAATTTAAGTTAAAATTCAACTTCATGTAGTTCTACAAATGCAACTCAACTGAAGTAATCATTTGATGAATATTTCTATGTACTACCAAGTACATACATACAGAGCAATGATGACTGCCATCACAACTAACTCCTCTAACCAGTCAGCTAGCAAATTTCTTTTGTCATTCTCATCCATTTTAAGAAGCAGAAAAATAAAACAGGGTTATACTAAAATTGAGGGGAAAATCCCCTTCTCAGATGAGATAAACTTACAAGGAAAAAGATAACTTGTCCAAAGTCACAAAAAAGTTAATCATGACAAATGCAAAGAAAAAGCTCAATATGACCTAATGCCCTCGAAATGATACATGGATATGGTGACTATGATGCACATTTTATTTATAAGCATACAACAAAGGGTGAGAAATACTCATTAATCAGCCAAGCAAGGCAGCTTGAATAGGCCCACACCCAATTCACGCATCTTAGAAGTATCATGACATATAAATATTCGTTAAATCACACATATCTTTGCAACAGTCCTCTGGCAGCAGCGAAAAATATCACTTAAATCAGCCACTTAAAATTTTAGTGTGAGGTACCGTGGCTCATGCCTGTAATTCCAGCACTTTGGGAGGTCAAGGCGGGCGGATCACGAGGTCAACAGATGGAGACCGTCCTGGCCAACATGGTGAAACACCATCTCTACTAAAAATACAAAAATTCGCTGGGCATGGTGGTGCGCGCCTGTAGTCCCAGCTACTTGGGAGGCTGAGACAGGAGAATCGCTTGAACGCAGGAGGCAGAGGTTGCAGTGAGGCGAGATTGTGCCACTGCACTCCAGCCTGGCGACAGAGCAAGACCCCGTCTCAAAAAAAAAAAAAAAACTAGTGTGTATTGTGAAGTATAAAGGTGATAGATTCAAATAATGACATACAGATTCATAATTAGGAAAAAAAACTTAAACCCCCCTTTTCCAACTAGTCGATAAGATAACAATGTCACTTCTCTATATTTGGATTTTATGCTTTTATCCTCAAAAAATTCTGCCTGACCATTGATAAATTCACTTATCCAACTCATAAAAGGTACAATGGAACAAAGAGACCTAAAGAAACACCCACATACCCATATATTTCAAATGGTTCATAAATTTTCATTGATGATATGATCTTAGGTACGGTGCTCAGTGGTATCAATGTTGTATAACCATCACCAGTTGGTCCCCAATTTACAATGGTTCAACTTAACAATTTTTTAACTTTACAACAGTACAAAAGCAGTAAGCATTCAGTAGAAACCATACTTCGAGTACCCATACAACCATTGTTTTTCACTTTCAGTATTCAATAAATTATATGAGATGTTCAAAATTTTATTATAAAACATGCTTTGTATTAGATGATTTTGCCCAATTGTAGGCTAATGTAAGTGTTCTAAGCACATTTAGGGTAGGCTAGACTAAGCTATGATGTTTGGTAAGTTAGGCATGTTGAATGCATTTCTGACATATGATATTTTCCACTTACTATGGGTTTATCAGGATGCAACCCTATTGTAAGTTGAGAAGCATCTGTATTTATTTCCAGATTTTTTTCATCTTTGTACTCATTATACAAAAGCTTCTCACTCCTCTCTCCCCCAGTCACCTGGTAAATACATTTCTATTTCTGTCTTTATGAATTTGCCTGTTTTGAATACCTTATTGCCACAGTTTGAATGTTTGTGTCCCCAAAATATTCATGTTGAAACTTAATCTCCAATGCAATAGTATTAAGAGGTGGGGCCATTAAGGGGTGATAAAGTCATAAGGGCTCCTCCCTTGTGAATGCAATTTAGGTACGTATCAAAGAGTCCTCCCAGCACTTGCCTTTTTTTGCCCTTCCTTCTCTTCTGCCATGTGAGGCACAGCATTCATCCCTTTTACGCCCTTCTACCATATGAGGATGCAGCAAGAAGCATTATCTTGGAAGGACAAAGCAGTCCACATCAGACACTGAATCTGCTAGCACCTTGATCCTAGACTTCCTGGCCTCCAGAACTGGAAGAAATAAATTTCTGTTCTTTCTAAATTGCCCAGTTTTTGGTATTTTGTTATAGCAGCAAAAACAGACTAAGACACATATAAAAACAAACATAATATTTGTCCCTTTGTGTTTGGCTTATTTCATTTCAAGTCTTCAAGGTTTCTTCATGTTGTAGCATGTATGATAATTTTAATCCTTTTCTTTTATGCATGCACCACATTTTTTTTTAATTCATTTAGCTCTTCACGGACACTTGGGTTATTTCTACCTTTTAATTCTTGTGAATAATGCTGCTATAAACATTACTGTACAAGTATGTGTTTGGATCCTTGCTTTCAATTCTTCTGAGTAGACAGCTGGGAGTGGAATTGCTGAACCATTTATTTTGAATTTTTTTCAGGAACTGCCATGCTGTTTTCCATCAGCTCATTTTACATTCCCATGAGCCATGCACAAGGGTTCCAGTATCTCCAAATTCCTTCTTTTTCTTTGATAAAAGCCACCCTAATGGGTATGAAATGGCTTCTCATTGTGATTATAATTTGCATTTCCCTAATGACTAATGATGTTGAAAATTTTCTTGTGAACTTACTGGCAATTTGCATATCTTCTTTAGAGAAATCTCTATTCAAGTCCTTTTCTCATTTTTGTTCTACTTTTTTATTATGGTAAAATACACATAACATAAAATTGTACATTTTCAAGTACAGAATTCAGTGGCACTAAGTATATTCACATTATTGTGCAACTATTTCCACTATCCATTTCCACAACTTTTTCATCATCCCAAACTGGAAATCTGTACATGTTAAACACTTAACTCCCCTTCAACCCCTTGTTACCAATTATTCTACTTTCTGTCTCTATGAATTTGACTATGCTAGTTACCACATATACATGTAATCGTACAATATTTGTCTTTCTGCATTTGGCTTATTTCATTTAGCATAACGTCTTTAAGATTTTTCCTTCTTGTAGCATATATCAGAATTTCATCCCTTCTTAAGAGTCAAAAATACTCCGTTGCATGTAGATACCACATTTTGTTTACTCATTCATCTGTCAAAGGATACTTGAGTTATTTCTACCTTTTGGTCACTGTGGATAATGCTGCTATAAACACTGGTATACAAATGTGTTCAAGTCACTGCTTTCAATTCTTTTGGATATATACTCAGACATGAAATTGCTGGATTATATGGTGATTATGCGGTAATTCAATGTTTAATATTTTGAGGAACTGCCATACTGTTTTCCACAGTGGCTGCACAATTTTATAATCTCATCAGTAGTACATTTCTCCACGTCTTCATCAATATTTGCTAGTTACTGGTTTTTTTATCATAGCCATCCTAATGGGTATGAAGTGGTATTTCATTGTGGTTTTTGTTTGTTTTGTTTTTTGAGAAAGGGTCTTGCCTTTCTCAACTCTAGAGAGCAGTGGCATAATCACAGCTCACTGCAGCCTCGACCTCCCAAGCTCAAGCAATCCTCCTGCCTCAGCCTCCCAAGTAGCTGCACCTAAAGGTGTGCACCATCACACCCAGCTAATTTTTAAAAGAAAATCTGTAGGTCGGGTGCAGTGGCTCACGTCTGTAATCCCAGCACTTTGGGAGGCTGAGGTGGGAGGATCACGAGGTCAGGAGTTTCAGAACCAGCCTGGCCAACATGGTGAAACCCCATCTCTACTAAAAACACAAATATTAGCAGGGCATGGTGGCACACACCTGTAATCCCAGCTACTTGGGAGGCTGAGGGAGGAGAATCACTTGAACCCGGGAGGTGGAGGCTGAAGTGAGCCAAGATCGAGCCACTGCACTCCAGCCTGGGCAACAAGAGTAAAACTCCATCTCAAAAAAAAAAAATAAAGAAAGAAAATTGACAATCTCTCTGGGGTGTTTCCTCATATATTAAAAAACACAAAAGAAAGAAAAAACGTACTATAAATAGTCTTTGTGAAAATTACATGTTCCATAAATGTAAAACCTTGTATTGGCTGGGTGTGGTGGCTCACGCCTGTAATCCCAGCACTTTGAGAGCCCGAGGCGGGCAGATCACCTGAGTTCAGGAGTGGGAGACCAGCCTGGCCAACATGGGGAAACCCGTCTCCACTAAAAATACAAAAAATTAGCCAGGCATGGTGGCAGGCCCCTGTAATCCCAGCTACCCAGGAGGCTGAGGAAGGAGAATTGCTTGAACCCGGGAGGTGGAGGTTGCAGTGAGCCGAGATGGCACCATTGTCAGCCTGGGTAACAAAAGCGAAACTCCAACTCTGTCTTAAAAAAACAAAAAACACTGTATGTGTTACTCATTGGTAGTATTATTAGTTTTTTGGGGGGTTTTTTGTGGGTTTTTTGTGGTTTTCTTGAGACGAGTCTTGCTCTGTCACCCAGGCTGGAGTGCAGTGGTGCAATCTAAGCTCACTGCAACCTCGCCTCCCGGGTTCAAGCGATTCTCCTGCCTCAGCCTCATGAGTAGCTGGGATTACAGGTGTCTGCCACCACGCCCAGCTAATTTTTGTGTTTTTAGTAGAGATGGGGTTTCGCCTCGTTGGCCAGGCTGCTCTCAAACTCCTGATCTCAGGTGATCCACCCTCCTCGGCCTCCCAAAGTGCTGGGATTACAGGTGAGAGCGGCTGCACCCTGCCACATTATTAATTTTAAGATAAACTACATTTACCATGCAAAAGGCTAAGTGAACTTCCCACCCCCTGGTTCTTTTCAGAGTTGCAGGGGAGAGTCTAATAATAACCTACATCTCAAACAAGTTTTCAGGTGCTGATAGTATAAGGACCACCCTCAAGAACCCCTCTGAAGCAACATAATTAAAATGTGAATTTAAAACAACCCTCTGGCCAAGTGAGGTGGCTCATGCCTATACTCCCAACACTTTGGGAGGCGAAGGATGTGAGAATCACTTGCACCTTAGGAGTTTGAGACCACCCTGGGCAACATAGTGAGACTCCATCTTTACAAAAAGCAAACAAATTAGCCAGATGTGGTGGTGCATGCCTGTTGCCCCAGTTACTTGGGAGGCTGAGGCAGAATTACTTAAGCCCAGGAGGTCAAGGCTGCAGTAAGCCACCATCTCACCACTGCACTCCAGCCTGAGCAATAAAGACCTTGTCTCAAACAAATAAATAAATGACAAAATTTAGAAACCCCTTCTTCCTCATTAGTATAGTGGCAAATAAAAATAAATAAATACTTTTAAAAAAACCCTTTCAAATAACACTAGTTTTATTTCATAGCTGAACTAGGCACTTTTGAGGTATTGATTATACATACGTATGCTTCAGGTACAAGAAAAGGATGTCCACTCTTGCCACTTCTAATCATTATTATACTGGAGGTTCTAACCAGGAAAATCAGACAAGAATAAGAAATAGCATCTAGATTGGGGGAGGAAGTAAATCTGTATTTGCAGAGGACATGAACTTATATACAGAAAATCCTAAGGTATCCACTAAAAACTACTAAAGGTAATAAATATGTTCAGATGGTTACAGGATACAAGATCAGTATAAAAAAATTTTTGTTTTTATACACTTCCAACGAAGAATCTGTAAATGAAATTAAGAAATCAATTCCAGGCTGGGCACGGTGGCTCACGCCTGTAATCACAGCACTTTGGGAGGCTAAGTTGGGTGGATCACCTGAGGTCAGGAGTCCGAAAGCAACCTGGCCAACATGGTGAAACCGCATCTCTACTAAAAATACAAAAATTAGCTGGGCGTGGTGGGGGCTTGCCTATAATTCCAACTACTCGGGAGGCTGATGCAGCAGAATCACTTGAATCTGGGAGGTGGAGGTTGCAGTGAGCCAAGATCCATGCCACTGAACTCCAGTCTGGGCGACAGAGTGAGACTCTGTCTCAAAAAAAAAAAAAAAAGAATTCCATTCACAATAGCATCAAACAGTTTTCTTATCAATTTATTTGTTATAGCTTTAACAAAAGTACAAGACTTACTATACTCTAAAAACTACAAGACACTGAACAAAATTAAAGAAGTTAAAAATAAAAAGGAAAAACATCCCACGTTCATAGATCAGAAGACCTTGTTAAGATAATACTCCCCAAACTAATCTATAGATTCAATGCAATTTATATGAGAATTCCAACTGACTGTTTTGTAGAAACTGGCAAGCTGATTCTGAAATTCAGATAGAATTGCAAGGAATCCGGAATAGCCGAAACAATCTTGAAAGAAAAAAGCAAAGTAGGCTGGGCGCGGTGGGTCATGCCTGTAATCCCAGCACTTTGGGAGGCTGAGGCGGGTGGATTACCTAAAGTCGGGAGTTTGAGACCAGCCTAGCCAACATGGTCTACTCTACTAAACATCTCTACTAAAAATACAAAAATTAACCAGGAATGGTGGCATGCGCCTGTAATCCCAGTTACTCAGGAGGCTGAGGCAGGAGAATCGCTTGAACCCAGGAGGCAGAGGTTGCAATGAGCCGAGTTTGCACCACAGCACTCCAGCCTGAGCAACAGAAGTGAACAACAACAAAAAATAAAAAATAAAAAAGCAAAGTTAGAGGACTAACACATCCCAATTTCAAAATGTATTACAAAACAACAATACTCAAGACAGTGTTGTACTGCACAGGACATATAGATCAATGGAACAGAATTAAGTCAGAACTAAATCATACATCTATGGTTAACTGATTATTGACAAGAGTGCCAAGATCATTCAATGTGGAAAGAATAGCCTTTTCAACAAATGATGCTGGAATACCATGTCACAAGCAAAAGATATCCACTAGCAAAAAAATGAAGTTGGACCTTTACCTCACACCATATATAAAAATCAACTTGAAATAGATCAAGGACCTAGATATAATAGCTAAAACTATAAAACTCTTAAAAGAAAACACAGGGATAAATCTTCATGACCTTAGATTTGCCAAAAGACTCAGCTATGTCACCAAAAGCACAAGCAACAAAAGAAAAATATATATAAATTAGACTTTATAAAAATTATAAACTTCAGGCCAGGCAAGGTGGCTTATGTCAGCCTGTAATCCCAGCACTCTGGGAGGCGAAAGCGAGCATGTTGCCCAGGAGTTCAAGACCAGCCTGGGCAACATGGTGAAACCCCATCTCTACAAAAAATATAAAAACAATTAGCTGGGCAAGGTGGCGTGCACTTGTAGTCCCAGCTACTGGGGAGGCTGAGGTGGGAGGATCACTTGAGCCCTGGAGGTCGAGGTTGCAATGAACTGTGATTGTACCACTGCACTCCAGCCTGGGCAACAGAGCAAGACCCTGTCTGAAAACAAAATAAATTAAAATTAAATTAAAAACTTCAAAGTACTTCAAAGAACACCATCAAGAAAATAATCCATGAAATGGGAGAAAATATATGCAAACCACGTATCTAATAAGGACTTCTATCTAGAATACATAAAGAATTCTTACAACTCAATAATAAAAAGACAACTCAATTTTAAAACAGGCAAAGAATATAAATAGACATTTCTCTAAAGAAGACATACAAATGGCTAATAAGCACATAAAAAGATGCTTGACATCATTAATCATCAGAGAAATGAAAATCGAAAACACAATGAGATACTAAAAAAAGTAAGCCAAAATCAAAGAATCAGCTAATAACAATTACTGGAGAGGATGTGGAGAAATCCTCATCCCGGTACACTGCTGGTACAAATATAAATGGTGCAGCTGCTCTAAAACAGTCAGCAGCCGAGCGTGGTGGCTCACACCTATAATCCCAGTGCTTTGGGCGGCCGAAGCGGGTGGATCACTTGAGGCCAAGAGTTTGAGACCAGCCCAGACAACATGGTAAAACCCTGTCTCTACTAAAAATACAAAAATTAGCCGGGTGTGGTGGTATATACCTGTAGTCCCAGCTACTCGGGAGGGTGAGGCAGGAGAATCGCTTAACCGAGGAGGCAGAGGTTGCAGTGAGCCATGATTGCGCCACTGCACTCCAGCCTGGGTGAAAGAGTGAGACTGTGTCTCAAAAAAAAAAAAATCTGCAGCTCTTCAAATGATTAAACACAGAATTTCCACATGACCAGATATGTGCCCAGGAGAAGTGAAAACATATATTTACACAAAACCTTGTATATGAATGCTTATAAAAGCATTATTCATAACAGCCAAAAGGTGGAAACCACCCAAATATCCACCAATGAACAAATGGAAAAACAAAATGTGGTATAACCATACGATGGAATATTTTTCAACCAAAAAAAGGAATGAATTACTGATACTTGCTGCAACATAGATAAACCACAAAAAGTGATAGAAGGCAGTCATAAGAGTATATGTATTATATTATTCCATTCATACAAAGTCCAGAATAACAAACTCTATAGAGACAGAAAGTAGATTAATAGTTGCTTAGGCTGGGGGAAGCATGCAATATGGGAGGGTGATAGCTGAGGGGTACAAGTTTCTTTCTGAGGTGATAAAATTGTTCTAAAATTGATGTTTGCACGTATCTGTGAAGAGACTAAAAACCACTGAATTGTACACTTTATAGGGTAAGTTGTATGGTATGTGAATTACATCTCAATTAAACTGTTTAAAAAGTAAAAAATAAAAATTTTAGAAAAGAACAATGGAGCATAAAGCTACAAAAAAAGTCTCTTAATAAAAGTAAACAATGTTTAAATATTTTATTTTATTTTTATTTATTTATTTATTTTTTGAGATGGAGTCTCTGTCATCCAGGCTGGAGTGCAATGGCGCAATCTTGGCTCACTACAATTTATTTATTTATTTATTTGTTGGTTTGTTTTGAGATGGAGTCTTGCTCTGTCACCCAGGCTGGATTACAATGGCGCAATCTTGGCTCACTACAACCTCTGCCTCCTAGGTTCAAGCAATTCTCCTGCCTTGGCCTCCCGAGTAGCTAGAATTACAGGTGCCTGCCACCACACCCGGCTGATTTTTGTATTTTTAGCAGAGGCGGAGTTTCACCACTTTGGCCAGGCTGGTCTCAAACTCCTGACCTCAGGTGATCCTCCCACCTCAGCCTCCGAAAGTGCTGGGATTACAGGCGTCAGCCACCGTGCCCAGCCAACAATGTTTAAATATTTTATACATTAACTACCTCCACAGCTTTTTGGAATTGGTAGATGGCTCATATTTTTAAATGCAGGTATATCTTTTTAACTTATTATTAATTTGGACATATGAAGTATTTTAAAGCTAGGACTAGAAATCAACTCAGTAGATTTACAATTTGCAGAATTACACTTTCCTAACTGGCCTCATAATCAAAGAAAAACTATAAGCAGTACCTTAAAAAATTCCATTTTTGAATATTTTAAATATTTATCAAACAGACATAAGTGCTCATGTCAATTATACATTTAAAAACAGATTGCAAAGTTTATGAGGGTTTTTTTGGTGAATTTTACAGTGAAATAAGTCTTGTCCACTTTAACTTATGAATACTGGTACTCTTAAAATTCCTGTCCTAAGGAAGAAATTAGTCATAAAAAGCTCTGAGGGTATAAAGCAGAAAACGTGCCAAGCAGAGAGACAAACCAGGACATTTCAAGCAAGTATGGCTCAAAGTAGAGTCAAGAGAGTTAAGGTTTTGAGCTATTCTGAAGTGCCAGATGGTCCAGAATCCACCCCCAGATCTTACAAGGCGCCGCATAAAAGTGTGCCAGAAAAAAAAAAAAAAACAGAACAGAACAGAATGTAGAGAACAAACTAAGAATGTAGAGAACAAACTAAGAATGAAAGCAATACAGACTGCAGAGAAGGGTGAAAACTGTATATACAAACTGAAATATTTCAATCTTCTTCAAGCTCACAACTTTTAATGCCAATTTCCTATGCTAAGTGAACTCTGACAAACTATAAATGGCCCTTGCAACCAAATTAAATATGCTCGGTTTAATCCCTTCAGAATAGCATTTTTCAGATTATTGCTCGAGTTAACCCTTGCTGCTGTCTGCTTTACCATTCAAGATCTTAAAATATAAACTAAAAATTCACTCATTTGATTTCAAAACTCAAATGTATACATAGAAAAATAATTCAATAATATAATAAGTACCACATATAACTCTACAGAAAAAAATTTATCAAATGGTAGAGCAAAGGTTATTTGCAACAGCATAAATTATAGTGGACATATATAAAATATCTGTACACATTAGGGCTTAAACTATAAAGCACACAATCAATTAATATGCTCCAAAGACATTAAAAAGATGCTAAGCAGACCACATAGGAAAACACTTAAAGAAAACAGAATAGGCCAGGTGCAGTGGCTCACACCTGTAATCCCAGCACTTTGGGAGGCTGAGGCGGGTAGATCACAAGATCAGGAGTTCAAGACTAGCCTGGCCAACATGGTGAAACCCCATCTCTACCAAAAATACAAAAATTGGGCAGGTATGGTGGCACACACCTGTAATCCCAGCTACTTGGGATACTGAGGCAGGAGAACTGCTTGAACCTGGGAGATGGAAGTTGCAGTGGGCTGAGATCACGTCACTGTACTCCAGTCTGGGTGACAGAGGAAGACTCCATCTCAGAAAAAAAAAAAGGAGAACAGAATAAAAAATGTTACATACATATATATACACACATATATATGTGTGTGTGTGTATGAAAGAGAGATAATAACTACATTTGGAAAAAAAAGAAACGATGTAAAAGACTAAAATTTAAAGAATGGTGTGGATGGTGATCTATCTTCTACTTTTCGACATGCATGTTCCAAGTTTTCTTTAGTGAGTGAAGAATACTGGAAATGAAAAAACATTTAGGCCCAACGCGGTGGCTCACGCCTGTATTTCCAGCACTTTGGGAGGCCGAGGCAGGTGGATCACGAGGTCAGAAGATCGAGACCATCCTGGCCAACATGGTGAAAGCCCTCTCTACTAAAAATACAAAATACAAAAATTGGCTGGGCATGGTGGTGTGCACCTGTAGTCCCAGCTACTCAGGAGGCTGAGGCAGGAGAATTGCTTGAACCCGAGAGGTGGAGGTTGCAGTGAGCTGAGATCGCACCATTGCACTCCAGCCTGGCAACAGAGCAAGACTCAGTCACAAAAAGAGAAAAGAAAAGAAAAGAAAAGAAAAGAAAAGAAAAGAAAAGAAAAGAAAAGAAAGAGAGAAAGAGAGAGAGAGAGAGAGAGAGAGAAAGAGAGAAAGAGAGAAAGAGAGAGAGAGAAAGAGAGAAAGAGAGAAAGAGAGAAAGAGAAAGAGAGAAAGAAAGAAAGAAAGAAAGAAAGAAAGAAAGAAAGAAAGAAAGAGAAAATTTAAACAAATACATATAAATTCTGCAGGTAAGTATTAATAATAATACAAGCAATTCTATTTATCAAATGTCTCCTATATCTCAACAATGTGTATACATCATACATAAGCAAATGAAAGGGTTTAAGTAATTTGCCATGATCACTCAGAGATGTCACAAATGGCAGAGCTACAATTCAATCCAGGTTTGTCTTGTACTATATCCAGTGTTCTTCCCACTACGTAAAACTTCTCTCAGTGTCCCTGGGATGAGAATCTTGACACTCTGTTAAAATATATATATAAAATATTTTACCTACTGTTTTGGAGTAGATCACAGATCTTTTGAAGTCTATCCTTGAGTCCCCTTCCTATGCTCTATGGTCAAAGTTAAAAATTCTTCCTTTATTACAAAAAAAAGATAAAACAAGGAATCTCATAAGAAAATTGATGTTATATCCCACAATATGAACTCTATGCACCAAAATACAATTTAACTTGAATCAAATGTTCCTATAGATTTATGTTATCCTTTCAAGTACAGTTTAAATATCCTCTACAGTAACAACCCTGGATCCTATAAAACCATTAAATAATTAAAAACTATATTACCACCAAAAGTTTCATCATAATCACAGTATTCTCTCATGGCACCCCCTTGCCTTACTTCTATCATCCTTTATCACAGTACTTGTCACACAAGAAAGTCAGTGTTTATCTCCCTAAAAAACCAAAAGCTACTTCAGAGCAAATGTCATGGTCTTATTCTGTATGTCCAAGGCTTACTAGAGTAGTGACACACAGGAGGCATCTAGTAAATGTTTTCTGAAACAGAGGATCAACCATCAATACTGGAAGCACCTTTAATGCATATAATTTCATATTTTTTATATATGCATAATGCTATATCTATGTTGTACCTACAGAACAAAAGATGGAATGAAGTTATCAATAATCCTTAGTATAAATGATCCATCAAAATTCTAATTAAGTGCAACATTTCATAAAAATTAATGGCTCATATAACTAAAATCTATCAATTTACCTAAGACATTCTAACTTCAGAGCCCAAGATCTCTCTCATTATTTTATGCTAGTTCTCAAAAATGTTCATCTGAGGATCAGAAATCATTACAGCTAATGGTTCCAGGTTTTAGTCAATAAAAGTCTATTTTATAGGGAGTCTCTGATACATTTTATCTTTAGCAATACAATACTGTAGAAACTCCAAGTCCAAATAACCATGTCTGAGAGAATATTAGCTTAAAAGTAAATATTGGTATGATGTACACTAACCTAGACAAGCTTAGATTTTCATGAGCAATAAATCTGGAGGTTGCAAAATGAAAAACTACCTTCTACTATGTCTACAAAAACTTTCCACTATAACTTCGTGCAACAATCACTTTCTAGAGATGTGGTGTATGCAATGATAAGTTGATTTTCACATAGGAAGATGTAGTAGCCTACAACATATGTTCAGCTATAACCAAGGAATGGTACCACAATAAGCTCTGTCAGAGCCATTTTGCCCTTAAAAATGCAGACTCATTCAATCAATATCCGAGTTGCTTAGACTACTGGGTTACAATTCTGGCTCTACCACTTAGCAGCAGTTTGACCTTGAACAAATTACTTCACCTCTGTGTCCCAGTTTTTTATTTTGTTTTGTTTTTGTAAAACAGGGATATAAGGATTACCAAGTTGTAAAGAATACTGAAAGGTTCATCAGGTTGTAAAGATTATTGAAAATAGCACATGACACGTAAGTGTGCTCAGTAAGTATTATTGTTATTATCCCACTATTGACCTCCTCCCCAATACACACAAACACACGCACACACACACCACTGGATAATTTCTTTTACATAACAATAGAGGAATGTAAGATCACATGAATGTTCATTCTTATCCCAAAATTTGACTGAAATATCATCAATGACTATAGGAAGCAGCATAGCAAATGTACTTGGAGAACAGATGTGCCTGGGTTCAAGTCTCAACTCTCCCACTTAAAATACAACCGTGAGCAAGTAATACAGAAGATTAATGCCTACTTGTAGAAAGGCTATGAAGATTAAGTGAAATAATGTATGTAGATCATCTAAAAGTATTTAGTATTTATTAGGTGTTCTAGAAGCATCAGTCCTCTTCCTTCTCAACAGTGGCATAAGAATGTTTTCCTTCCAGGATCTCTGTATTGATACTTAGCCCACTAGATAGAACTGTTCCACAACTAAAAGAAGACCACACTAAGTTTCCAAACTACAGTGGAGCCGGAAGAGGGAGGAGATCACACTAAAAAAGGCACAGAAATCACACATAAAATTAAGTTCACAATTTCAGGTTGCCTTCTCATTTAAGTTTTTTAAGCTCAATATTTATGCACAAGGAGTCAATCATGGCTCATGGCAGGCTTAAGAATAAAAATATGAAGATAAACTCTTTCCCCTGTCCTCACCCCTAGAAAGTATATCTTGTATGTCCTAATGGACCACAGAAAGTATGTATCTAGGCCGGGCACGATGGCTCACGCCTGTAATCCCAAGCAATTTGGGAGGCTGAGGAGGGAGGATCACCTGAGGTCAGGAGTTCGAGACCAGCCTGGCCAACATGGTGAAACCCCGTCTCTACTAAAAACACAAAAATTAGCCAGGTGTGGCGGTGGGCGCCTATAATCCCAGCTACTTGGGAGGCTGAGGCAGGAGAATCATTTGAACTCGGGAGGCAGAGGTTACAGTGAGCCGAGATCACACCACTGCACTCCAGCCTGAGCGACAGAGCCAGACCTCCGCCTCAAAAAATAATAATAAATAAATAAGTATATATCTAAACCAGTGATTTGGCCGGGCGCAGTGGCTCACACTATAATCTCAATACTTTGGGAGGCCAAGGCAGGAGGATCACTTGAGGTCGGGAGATAGAGACCAGCCTGGAAAACATGGTGAAATCCATCTGTACTAAAAATACAAAAAAAATTAGCCAGGCGTGGTGATGCACGCCTGTAATCCCAGCTACTCGGGAGGCTGAGGCACGAGAATTGCTTGAACCCAGGGGTGGAGGTTGCAGTGAGCCAAGATCACACCACTGCACTCCAGCCTGGACGACAGAGCGAGACTCTCTCTCAAAAGTACTAAAACTTTAAAATAAAAATAAATAAATAAACCAGTGATTCTAAACCAGAGGCAATTTAATCCTCTAGGAAATATTTGTCAGTGTCTGGAGATATTTCTGATTGCTGCAACTGGTGAAGGTGTTACGTCTAATGGATAAGGATGCTGCAAAACACCCTACAATGCACAGAACAGCCTCCCACAACAAGAAATTCTCCAGCCCAAAATCTCAAAGTGCCAAGGCTGAGAAACCATGATCTAAAAAACTATAAAGTACTGTAATATAAACGTCTTCCTCCAAAAAATATGTTCTTATCCTAGCATTCTTGGTCAAATTTGTATTCTTATTGCAGATTTAGTAAGGAATAAGCAGTTTGATTATTTCAGATGAAAAACTCCTGGTACTGTTATATTCCCATTGTAATAATCCCCAGTTTAAAGGAGGGAGGAAGTGAGGCTTACTTTTCTTTGTATATTTTTACCACATAAAAACAAGTTTTAAAAAGAGCCCAACTTTTATTTTTTAATTGCACCTCTGATTCATTTGAAAGCCTTATTTATATCACAAAAATGAGTTTCTTCTACCTCATTTCTATCCTACTTTTGCACAAAATATTCAGAAGTTCACATTTATGTGATAGGAAAGCAGAGTATATGAGGCAGGGTACAAGGCCAGCTTTTAACAAATTGGGAAACTACAGGAGTAGCTAAAGAAAATAAGTCACCAGTTCATTTTGTAATCACAACATGCTTAAGAGGTCTCAATAATACCCAAGAAGTCTCAGTAGTTTATTTCTAATATGCAAATGAGTGCACTTAAGAGGTTAAGTAATTTGCCCAAGATCACAGAACTACTCAGGGGCAGAACAGGTGTGCTCTTGCAGTTATATTAGTCTGCCTCTGCTCCTGAAGTTTAAAAATCTAGATTTTGCAGAAGCTCTAAGAGAAAAGACTGACAAATTAAACATATAAAACAAATATTTCTACATAATCAAAAAATGCCAAAAACAAAAAAAAATTCAGAGAAAAAAATTTTGCAAAGGATTTTGCAAAGAAGGGCAAATTTCCTAAATATAAGAAGAGTTCTTACAAATCAGTGAGAAAGAAGACAAACAGCCCATCAAGAGAACAGGTAAAAGACTAAAGCAGTTTATAAAAAAAGAAATACAAATGGTTTCAAAGGAAAAAAAAATAAGTTCAGCCTTACCCATAAAGAAATAACAAACTAAAACAATGAAATTGTTTGAAATCTTTCTGATTACTGGACTGACAATAATATACATGTTGATCAAGCTGTGGAGGAAATGACACTCTCAAACATGTGTGCTGCTACAGTGTTTCTGAATGTAAATGAGCAATATCTTTTTTTTTTTTTTTTTTTTTTGGAGACAGGGTCTTAGCTCTGTCACCTAGGCTGGAGTGCAGTGGTGCAATTATAGCTCACTGTAACCTGCTAATCATAGCTCACCTGTAGCCTGCTAGGACTACGGGCACACACCACCATGCCCAGCTAATTAAAAAAAATTTTTTTTTTGTCCCAGATGGATTTCACTATGTTACCCAGGCCTTGAACTCTTGGCTTCAATCAATCCTTCCGCCTCAGCCTCCCAAAGCACTGGAATTATAGGCCTGAGCCACTATGCCTACCCCAAATTAGCAGTATCTATGCAGATTAAAAGTATCCTCTGGCCCAAAAATTACACCTACTAGAAATTAATCCATATGCTCACACATGTGCACAAAAACATGTAAAAGAGTATCCACTGCAGCATAGTTGTAACAAAAGATTGAAAACAAAATAAATGTCCAGCATTAGGTGGCCAGTAAAATAAATAACAGTAAGTTCACATATAGAAATACCCTGAGGTTTTGAAAACAATAAGGGAGATCTATATGTGATGTTATAGAGCAATCTCCTAAATCAGTTAAGCTAAAAATAATATAACAACAAACTGTGAAACAATAAACAGCTTACACAAAAGAATATACATATACAGTATACATATATATTTATTCGCATATACACAGACTATTACTGGAAATTCACACAAGAAACTGGCAAGAATGGCTGCCTCTGGGAAAGCAAATGAGGGCCTAAAGCAGAAAGAAGACTTCACTAGCATTGTATGAATTTTTTTAACCATGAATTTATATTGGTTTTTTAATTTACTAACTATAAAACCTAAGTCCCAAATTCTGAGCCTCAGTATCCTCCAATTTGAAATGATGATAATAATAGCTTAGTTCATAGGTTACGCTTTGTTAAGTTATAAAGCAGCACAAAAAATTATAAATTAGTCCTCTAACTGAATTGTCCAAATCAATTAATATAATTATTATCATTCCTCTAATCAATTTCTCTAAATGTTTAGGATGAAAACTAAGTGTAGACACAATCTTAGAACACAAAGCTTTACTTTACACGTAGTTATTGTGTATTCAATTTAAATGAATAAATTCTCAAAAATGCCATAGAGAAAAGCTAAATCAGTTGATTACAGAAGGAATACATTCTCACTGTTGAAAACAAGGTAGATAAAAACTACAACCATGCTACTATAAAATTTTAGTGTTTTTTTTCTTCCAGGCTTTCTTCTACGCATGCTTAACTGGGTTAGATCATTTGTCTAAATAAAAAAAGTTCACTTTACTGTAATACAGCATTCAATTTACAAGATTCCTCAGATTATTAAAAACACCTAATAAATATAATTAATGAAGGCATACCTTGTTGATTCAACTGCTTTAAAAATGAAACTCCAGCATATGAATTTGCCTAATGAACTCTGCCTGGAGTAACTTTTCGTTTATTATTTCTACCAGTTCTCCAACTAACCAGATCTCTCTCAGGCCATTTACTTGGTTTTGGTTTCCAGAGTACTGATTTTTTTTTTAAAAACTTTTATTTTAGGTTCAAGGGTACATGTGAAGGTTTATTACATCAGTGGACTTGTGTCATAGGTATTAAGCCCAGTACCCAATAGTTATCTTTTCTGCTCCCAATTTTATTAAGCCCCAAACTCACAAACAAGTATATAAAGTGCTTTTTGTAATTCCCTAAAGAACAAGTAAAATATCTTAGATTAGGCCTTTAAAATCACACTATTAGAGATTGCAGAGATTCTGAACTATGATTCGTTGCTAATGATACTCAATCTTTTTCTATTACACGTTAGTCTGTTACTAGCATTCTGTCTGCAAATAGAGTGAAAACAAAGGAATGCACTCTTAGATTATTCCTGAGAGACTTGCTATTGGATGAACTTGTTCCTAATTAATTTTAACTATGACAACCTCTCCCAAGTGCTGAACATTTCAAGCCATCTTTGAGAAGGGTTAGATATCTCTCTCAAGAGATTTCCTGAGTATATCGAACCATAATTATAGGCAATAAAGAAAAACATCATTAATGTGCCTTTCCCATTGTAGGAACTCAAATATCTGTCATGTTGAGAACAATATCACTTTTCTGCTTCTGAGAACATGTTGTCATTTTCAAACTAACCTGTATTTACTGTCATAATTGTTAAACCAGACTACTAAGATGATATGTTTATTAGCACTTGTACTGCGTACTTGTTTAAAAAATGAAACTGAAAATAAACACTACAAACTGTGAAATTATGGGAGATGTTTTCCTCTAATTTCCAAGTTTTCTGTAATACAGTTATATCACTCTTGTAATTTAACAAAAAAAGCATTAGAACTGTTGTTATACCATTTATATACTAGGATTTTTAAAATTAAGTCCCTACTTAAGGGCTTTTTTATTACTTTAAAAAAAAAAAAGAATCTGACAACATAGTGAGTGAGTCCCTGTCTCTACAAAAAAATTTTAAAAATTAGCTGGGCATGGCGATGCACACTTGTAGTCCCAGCTACTCAGGAGGCTGAAATGGGAGGATCCCTTGAGCCCACAAGGTTGAGGATGCAGTGAGCCTGATCATGCCACTGTACTCCAACATGGGTGACAGAGTGTGATCCTGTCTCAAAACAAAACAAAAAAAAAAAAAAATTCTTGCTAAACTAAAGCAAGAAAACCAGTATAAAGCTGAATTGCTAAAAGACTATTTTAAATATTCAAATCCTATCTCAGTAAAATAAAACCTTTATCATCAATAGCACTAACTTTGAACACACAATTGTATCATCCAAGATATTATCAAAGGCACTAGAGATTCAGAGGCAAAAACCATGGCTTATATCCTCAAGAGGCTTACTACTTAAGACAATGGCATATGCCGAAAAAAAAGAACAAAAAATGTAAGGGAGCGTTGGATAGGCCAAGCATCTAGTACATAGAGAAGAACAGTGAAATAGCTTTTGAAGTCCTACAGACCTTGGTTCAAATCGTAGATTCACCACTTACTAGCTTACTTACTAGCTTCTCTAATTTGTAAAACATATCGTTAGATTCTAAGTGTAGTAAAATTCCTGGCATATAGTAATTCCCAAAGGGAAGTTAACAGTATTATTATTATTAGGGATATGGGCGTTAGGGAGTAAAACTGACTATTGGAAACTTTTTTTTTTTAAGTATTACATGCTTTTTTTCTAATCTACCAACAGAAGCAAAAATCAAGATCTTTCTCCCTCAGGTTTTACTTCTCATTGACAAGAAGTAAACAGAACACCTAGTAAAGACAACTGAATTAGAAAACATTTAAGGCTGTAAAGCACTAAAGAACCCAGAGAAAGTCCACTAGGTCTATAAATCATAGAACACTGTCTATAAAACAGGATCTTAAAAGTTGGAAAGGTCCTTAGATCAGCTAATTCAAACTCCTCTAGCAGAAATAAGTTCCAGGTTTTGTCTCCAAGGTCAAAGAATTGTTAACTATTTTTGTTCATGAGTATATATATCCTCAGTACCTAGAGTAATTCCTAGCACATACTGAATGCTCAGCAAATGTTTGTTGAGTCTCTTTTAAAGTTAAGAAAACTGAGGCCTGGATATTTAACCCAAACCCATACAGTTAGCTGTGGCCAAAGCAGAACTGGAACTAACATTTTGGTACTCTAGCATTCTATCATCTCTAGAAGCTAGACTATAATAATTTAGATAATTTATTTTGGTGGCTGGGGAGTTGAAGGGTTGGTTGGCAAGCTTGGAAAAAGGAAGGAAGGCATAAGCTAAAACATTTTTCACATTTTTTCCCCAAACTCAGTTTTGCTTAATTGGTAAAGGCAAGAAATTATAAACACGATAATCCCAGTACAATGTCTAGTACATAATAGGTACTATAAAAATATTTGCTGAATGAAAATCATCAACATATGAACAGAAGCAGAAATTAACTTGAGCATGTTTAATCTCCATAACTGTTATAGAACCCTTTAGAGCTTTCAGTCATTCCTACAACAGTTATTAATTACTTTCTTCCAGATAGGTACCATGGGAGAAAGATGGATTAAAAGATGTCCCTGCCCTGAATGAGCTCTCACTTGAGTATGCCTATGTCTAAATGTGTGTGCTGGGAGAGTGGGCAGGGTGGGGGGAACAGAGGATGACAAACGGGTCAGTAATGAATGTGAAACCAGGCTGCATTGTTATCTTAGTGTATTGGGCTCAGGCAGTTATAAAAAAATTAAATTAAATTTAAAAACCACAAATCTGCAAAGTTTTGAAGTAACAAGGAGGCACATTAGGGTATACTAGCAACTGGAAATGTTATTTTTTCGTGTGCCTTCGTAATCCCTCTTATTGCCTCTTCATGTTTTAAAATCAGAATATTCTGAATTTACTTATTTGAATTATCAATAAAAATTAACCACCAATGTATATTATCTCATATGTGAGGCACTGAAGGATAATAGCTACTACTGATTCCGTACTTACTGTGTACACATTAATACCTAAATATATAACCCAAGAACATATGTAAATTTTTTAAATGGCTATAAAACTGACAGAGCTTGAAGCAATTCTCCAGAGATGAATGATGTAAATAGAAGCTAAAAACATGGTATTACCCAGGGAGAGAATAAAGTATGCACACAACTGAGAAGCAATTTTACGGAAGTCTTTAAGAGCACAAAATCTTCAAGGGAAAACTCCTGCCAGAATTGGCCAACAGAGCCAGAAAACAACAGCCTGCCAACAGGGATCTTGTTTAATGCAAGTCACTAACTAGACTCACAGAAAGTGAATACCTAAAAGTCAGTGCTGTAGTTGTTCAAATTTGAGTTTTGGGAGGACCCTTCCAAACATACATAACCAAGACTAAACCACCACATTCCATGTTAAAGGGTTCTCTGCTTGTCAGAACAGGACAACCACCACCACCATCAAAAAAACTGGGAAATAGACTTTCCTTATGACACTTAGAATTCCTGCAAACACGGGTTAGTTATTTTACATGAAGCATGTACGTGACTCCTGGTTTCTGAGAAAACATTTTTTTCTCTCTATCCTACAGTGCTAGGCAAAGCACCCCAAAGCCTCTTGATTTTAAACACAGAAAACTCCACTGCCGAAATGTTTGCCCTATCCCAGCGCTAAAGCCTTAGAAGCACCGACGAATCTAGGCCAAGGAGTACAAGATGGCAGTGAGATACCACAATGCAGGCAAGGAAGACGGGATGGGCCCCAATCGGGAAGCACGCGCCACCAGCTCTGGAGAGAACCGTCTGAGGAGACGCGGGGGAGAGTTTGGGTCACAGGAGCAGGAAGGAACTGGCAGGTGTCTGTCACCTTATCATCCCGGACACCATGTTTACATTGTAATTGGCTTCTTTACAGAGAGGGAGGGACCAGGTTCCCAGTGTGAGTGATGTTTAGAGGTTTTCTGAGAAGCACAAGGACTGGACTTTGACAGGAAGCAACGAGGCAAGAGGGAAGCTCGAGAACAGGTTTTGCTGAGGATTCCCCCCAAGAAAAGTGCTCCCCGGGAGGCCGTTCCTGGCACCAAGACTGGCGGAGCCACCACACCCGTTAAAGGGATCCACCTGGACAGCGATCAGGCGTGAGCCCCCCGAGGGGAAGTTGAAGTGGAAGCAGACGTGGGTGGCAAAAGGCTGCATTGGGGGTCTGACCCAGAAGGAAACCTGATCAGGAGGGGGGAGAGGCTGAACGGAGGAAGGGGCCGGCAGAGTGGGTAGTTGAGTAGGATGAGACTTCTTTGGAGGCGAGGCTAACTACATTAAACTCTGGGAAGGGAGGGCTTCCGTCGGACCCTGGGAGAAAGGCAGGTCTGGAGAGGAAAGACTGGCTTGGGGGGCCTGCGCGTCCGGCTCTGGAAGGCAACTCCTACTGGGGGCGGCGCGCAGCCGGCCTGGCGGGCGAGCCTCGTGCGGCCCGGGGGTGCGGCCGGCCCGCGCGAGCTCAACAGGAGCTCACCTGGGATGCGTGCGGCCCTGTGGGAGGAAACTTCCTGGGTAGGTGAAAGCTGCCCCGCGGGAGCCGGCCCGGCACCGGCAGAGCGCGGCCGGGTCACAGTCCACTCGGCAGCGGCGCGGAGGGCGGCGAGGGCCGCGCGGGGCGGGGCAGGAGGCGCCCGACGACCCTGGGCGAGGTCGCGGCGGCCGCAGGGGGGCTCCGGCTCCGGAGGGCGCCCTCCCGCAGTCGCACCCGCTTTCCCTCACACACACCGGCCGCCCGGCCCACAAGCCAAGAAGCTGCCTGCTTGGCCCACAAGCCAAGAAGTCGGCGAAGCTGAGGGCGGTGGGGGAGGGGGCACCGGCCGGCCAAGCCCGGCGGACGGGCGTGTGGCGTTACCTGTGTCAGAGAGAGCTGGGCCGCCGCAGCCATGGTGTTTCCATCATGCAAGGGAGGGGAAGGAAGACGGGCTGACTGGGGCTCGGGGCGGGGAGGAGGCGGAGGGAGCGGCCGCAGGCGAGGCCGGGGCGGGCGGGCGGGCGTCTCCCCTAACTTCCACAACTTCCCTCCCCACGCCCGCCCCGCCCCGCCTGGCCCCGCCCGCCTGCCCGCCCGCCGGAGCCGGCCGCGGCGCCGCCCAAACCCTGGCGCCGGAGTCTCGGCCACCGGACCAGAGCCTGCCCCCGGGGCCGCCTTGGAAAACCCGGCGCGGACATAAAATTAAAGCGGACGGGCTGCGGAGGCGACTGCAGATTGACCTGTGAACTTCAGACAGGCCACCTACCTACGCTGAGCTCCTGCTTCTGAAAAATGGGGGAAATTGTAACTAGAGGCCCAGTTACTTACAAAGACTAAATGAGATAATGATAGAAAATAATAATGGCACTTTATATATGCCAGGCTCTGTACTAGACTCTTATTTTTTGAATTGTATGAATGAAGGAACTGAAACACAAATAAGTGTCTTACTAAGGTCATACAGCTAATTATATAGCTGAATTAGAATCCAAGTCTAACTGTAAATATTTAACCATCTGCTAGTATATTGGAAAAGAAGACATTAAGTCATTCCCTCCCACAGCCAAAATCCATTTGGAAAGGGGAAGCAAAAATGTATTTGCCTGGTGCCTGTCACATTTAGATTGTTTAACAAGGGAACGCTGGTGCCTGTAGCACTCCTAGCTTCTCCCATCATCCACTTAGCAAACTCCTCCTTCTTTCTCAGGACATAATTCAAGTTTCACCTCCTTTGCAAAGTATCTTTTTCTCTTCCTTATGTCAGAGTTACACACTCTCCTTTATAACCTTTCTTCTCTACCTTGTGAAGTCATCACCCTAATGACAGTTTACACCTATCTATCCCTCTAGATTAAGAGCTCCTCAATGGCAAGAACTGTTTTCAATATATTTCTATATCGTCAGACCCTAGCATTACAGTGCATGCTCAGTAAAGGCCTTCGTTCCTGCCTATATTAAACATAACACATCCTACACCTTCTGATGCTGCCAACCTTCAGTTGGAATACCCAGTTACTTGAAATTCATCTTCAAAGTCTCAGAGTATATACCACCTACTTCAAGAAGCCTTCTAGGAACTCCACACCCCACCTCTAAGTTGTTCTGATGTGACCGTTTTTATACTCTGCCTTATCTGTAAGCGTTAGTTGAGGGTTTGTCTCCACCTCACTGCACTGTAAAATCCTTGAGGACAAGGGGCTGACTCACTGCTTTATCTCCCTCATAGTTTAGCCTACCACAGAGGCCTCAATAAATGTATTTGCCCGAATTGGTCTTAATTTCTTAGTCACGATGGCTTCCCATTACAACAAACCACAACTCTATCAGGCCTACACCCATTACCATTATCATAGCAGTCCCCGTGGTAGGAGGGACAACTGAACAAGACCCAGGATGGAGTTAGCCCCACCTAAGTTTTTAGACTATTGCCTCCACAAGCAAACCATTCCAGAAATTTCCCAAGGAACTCCTAATTCTACTCAGACTCCTTCTGGCAAAGGCCAGCTAACAAGAGCAAGCCATATAGGTCTGGTGAGTAACCACTTATTCAAGAGCATCTTCCTTGGCTTCTTTTTTGCTGCTAATCTCTTTAACTGAAGAGAGAATAAGAGATACTGTTTTACATTACTTCACTTTGGTACACTTATCAGCCATAACCACAACCGGTGTTTCTACCGGTGTTTTCTACTTTATATTAGCACATTTGAGCTTCACAACTCTAAAAGGAAGTAATCGTCATACTCACTTTACAAATGAGGTAATGCAGGGTCACAGAGGCTAAGTGATTTGCCCAGGGTTATACAACTGATAGACAAAGCAGCATAGTATAGTGAAATAAATAGGACTCAGACATTAGGAATATCCAGGTTCCATTCCTGGCTCTCCCATTCACTAGTTGTATGCCCTTAGGGTTGTTGTGAGGATGAATGAGATGACATATACAAAAGTGCCTAAACTTGTAGCTACACAAATTATGAAATCTGAAAATCATGGAGCAAATCGCTTTGGGGAGTATAATTTCACTTGCTATTCAAGGGGACTCCTCCAAACCATATGAGATGTAAGATATTCCTCTCAGATGAATAAGGTGGAAACCCTGCCATGTAGTTTCCGGAAAGGCAGTGCAGAGTAGCAAAGAGAATATTAAGAATCAGAGTGTGACCGCAGGCAAACCATTTAACCTCTTTGAGCTTCAGTTTCTCATACAGGAAAAGTAAGGAATTATTACTGTTTTAACTTTTATATGATTTATATTAAGTCAAAAGCACACCTTACCCAGGCATGGTGGCACATGCCTATAGTCCCAGCTACACAGGAGACTGAGGCAGTTGCACAGAGCACGAATTCAGCCTGAGCAACATAGAGAGACCCCATCTCTAATAAATAAATAACACCTTGTATGTATACAGTATTGCTTTTCACCGTTTATAAATGTTTTTATTTTATTTTTATTTTTTTGAGACAAGGTCTCACTCTGTCACCCAGGCTGGAGTGCAACGGTGCAATCTCGGCTCACTGCAACCTCCACCTCCTGGGTTCAAGCGATTCTTGTGCCTCAGCCTCCTGAGTAGCTAGGATTACAGGCACCCGCCACCACACCAGCTAATTTTTTTTTTTCTAGTAGAGACAGGGTTTCACCGTGTTGGCCAGGCTGGTCTCGAACTCCTGACCTCAAGTGATCTGCCTGCCTCGGCTTCCCAAAGTGCTGGGATTACAGGCGTGAGCCACCGTGCCCGGCCAAATGTTTAGAAGCACAACTTCTAATGTTCAGTAAGTACATTATAAAAGTTTGTTGAATTGAACTGAATACAATCTCATATATAATTGTTATTTGGATCTTCACTTTATCCCCATAAGAAAATCAAGGAACAAATATTTTATAAATTTATTTTATAAATAGCTTCTATAAGTAAGAGCCATTGACAGCAGGCTTGGGTCTTGGTTAACAAAAAATAAAAAGAATCAGATGCCCTAGCAAGGGAAGACTTGCTTAAAATCTTTATATGGGAATTGCCCCACGTCCCCTTCCAGACCACTAGTAATTTGTAGTGGCTTCTTTCTTCATTCGTAGGTTCTGGTTTAAATTAATGACATGTAATGGGAGATGGGAGCATGTCTATAGGGAAGAGAATAATGGGCCAAATTCCCAAAAAAGGCCTAGAACTTCTGAGAGAGGTGTTTTTGTTTGTTTGTTTGTTTGTTTGTTTTAATGACAAACCAATGACAATTTGCAAATGTGTGGCCCAGATCTCGTCAGAGCACTGGGTCATATCCCAAATCTATTTTAGGAGAGGAAAAATGTAGCCAATCGAATATATGTTATAATCTAATTCATTATAACAAGAATGAGTTGCATGGAGCAGACAAGAAGAATTTATCTGTTTTTTCTAGGACAACTTAATGTCTCTGGGTCACTAAGCCTCATTTTCCTCATGATTACATTGAAGATAATAATATCTACTTTGTATGGATGGTTTAAGGATTAGAGCTCATGTATAATGGCCTATCAGAGAGACTGGCCTGGAATAGATGTTCAATAAGTAGCAGCTATAAGATACCATTCTTCAAGATCACCATTTAACTCTCTACCCTTCAGGCAACCCTCCAACAACTAAGTTGGTTTGACAGATATATTAGTTACATGAATGGGTCTGCCAGACCAGACCAGGTGGCTCACATTTGTAATTTTAGCACTCTGGAAGGCCGAGGCAGGAGGATTGCATGAGCCCAGGAGTTCAAGACCAGCCTGGGCAACATAGTGAGACCTCGTCTCTATTTTTTTAAAATCAATCAAATAAAAATAAATAAATAAATAAGAATAAGGGTGCTTTGAACAACTGACATATCCCTGTCATTGAAAAAGTAGATGTTCCCTAGGTAAACAAAGTTGTATCTGATGACTTAAATCTGAATACTAATAACCAACAATTGCTGTTTTCTTTTTTTTGTTTTATTTATTTATTTATTTTATTTGAGACAGTGTCTTGCTATGTTGCCTAGGCTGGTCTTCAACTCCTGGGCTCAAGTCATCCTCCTGCCTCAGCCTCCCAAAGTGCTGGGATTATAGGTGTGAGCCACCGCACCCAGACAAATTGCTGCTTTAATGTGCATTATTTCATTTATTCCTCAAAACAGCTCTACAAGGGTTATTTTTAATCTTTTTTTTTTAACAGAAGAAGAATTTGTCCAAATTCATAATGACAAAGCTGGGAAT